>NC_000018.10:19013412-19182930 GCF_000001405.40 Homo sapiens | reverse complement strand
GCAGCGTTTTGAGAAACATTTTTGTGATGTTTGTATTCAGGACACAGAGTTGAACATTCCCCTCCGCTCCTGGCCAGAATCTCTTATTTTGAAAATTTTAAGACATGATTTGTATGTGAATGTTTTTTTTTTTAAACTTTTTCATTATAAAATTCAAGTTGTCACACTTAGGCCTTCATTAAAATGTTTAAAACACACCCATGCACACACACACACACACACCCTGTTTTTTTATTTTTGAACAAAGTCCAACCTTTTTGACTTTGGTCTATTTTTTTTTTTTTTTTTTTGAGTCGGAGTCTCGCTCTGTCGCCCAGGTTTTAGTGCGGTGGCACAATCTCAGCTTTTGTCTAGTTATGTTTTCCGGGTTCACACCATTCTCCTACCGCAGCCTCTTGTTTATTTGGGATTTCAGGCGCCCGCCACCACACCTAGTTATTTTTTTTTTGTATTTTTAGTAGAGACGGCGTTTCTTCATGTTGGCCAGGATGGTCTCGATTTACTGACCTTGTGATCCGTCCGCCTTGGCTTTTCAGCAGTCTGCAATTTGTATGAATTCCCGCTTCCAACGAAATCCTCAAAACTAGCCAAATATCCACTTGCAGATTCCACAAAAAGACCATTTCAAAACTGCTCTATCAAAAGAAAGGTTCAACTTTGTTAGTTGAGTAGATACAGCATAAACAAGTTTCTGAGAATGCTTCTGTCCAGTTTTTATGGGAAGATATTTCCTTTTTCACCTTAGCCCTGAAAGCGCTCCAAAAGTCCAGTTCCAGATACTACAAAAGGAGTGTTTCAGGACTGCTCTATGAAAGGGAGTGTTCAACTTTTGACTTGAATGCAAACATCAGAAAGCAGTTTCTCAGAACGCTGCTGTGTGCTTTTTATATGTATTCCCGCTTCCAGCGAAATCCCCAAAGCTAGCCAAATAGCCACTTGCAGATTCCAGAAAAAGAGTGTTTCAAAACTGCTCCTTCAAAACGGTGGTTCAATTCTCTTAGTTGAGTACACACATCTCAAATAAGTTTCTGAGAATGCTTGTGTCTAGTTGTTATGGGAAGATATTTCCTTTTTCAACATAGGACTGAAAGCGCTCCAAATGTCCACTTCCAGATACTACAAAAGGAGTGATTCCAACCTACTCTATGATAGGGAATGTTCATCTCTGTGTCCAGAATACAAACATCACAAAGATGATTCTCAGAACGCTGCAGTCTGCAATTTGTATGAATTCCCGCTTCCAACGAAATCCTCAAAACTAGCCAAATATCCACTTGGAGATTCCACAAAAAGAGCGTTTCAAAACTTCTCTATGAATAGAAATGTTCTACTCCTTTAGTTGAGGACACACATCACGAGTAAGTTTCTGAGAATGCTTCTGTCTAGTTTTTATGGGAAGATATGTCCTTTTTCACCTTAGGCCGGAAAGCGCTCCAAATGTCCACTTACACACACTACAAAAAGAGTGTTTCAAACCTGCTCTGTGAAAGGGAATGTTCAATTCTGTGACTTGAATACAATCATCACAAAGAACTTTCTGAGAATGCTGCTGACTGCTTTTTATATGTAATCCCGTTTCCAACGAAATACTCAAATCTAGCCAAATATCCACTTGCAGATTCCACAAAAAGAGTGTTTCAAAACTGTTCTGTATAAAGAAATGTACAACTGTGTTAGTTG
The DNA here is from genome assembly GCF_000001405.40 of Homo sapiens. Lineage (NCBI taxonomy): Eukaryota > Metazoa > Chordata > Mammalia > Primates > Hominidae > Homo > Homo sapiens. Next base: position 19,181,250 of record NC_000018.10, on the reverse strand, counting down.
AGGACACACATCAGAAACTAGTTTCTGAGAATGCTTCTGTCTAGTTGTTATGGGAAGATATTTCCTTTTCCAACGTAGGCCTGAAAGCGCTCCAAATGTCCACTTCCAGATACTACAAAAAGAGTGTTTCAAACCTGCTCTACCAAAGGGAATGTTCTACTCTGTGACTTGAATGCAAGCATCCCAAAGAAGTTTCTGAGAATGCTTCTGTCTAGATTTTATCTGAAGACAATCCCGTTTCCAACGAAATCCTCAAAGCTAGGCAAATATACTCTAGCAGATTCCAGAAAAAGAGTGTTTCAAAACTGCTCCTTCAAAACGGTGGTTCAATTCTCTTAGTTGAGTACACACATCTCAAATAAGTTTCTGAGAATGCTTCTGCCTAGTTGTTACGGGAAGATATTTCCCTTTCCAACATAGGCCTGAAAGCGCTTCAAATGTCCACTTCCAGATACTACAAAAAGAGTGTTTCAAACCTGCTCTACCAAAGGGAATGTTCTACTCTGTGACTTGAATGCAAACATCCCAAAGAAGTTTCTGAGAATGCTTCTGTCTAGATTTTACCTGAAGACAATCCCGTTTCCCACGAAATCCTCAAAGCTATGCAAATATCCTCTTGCAGATTCTACAAAAAGAGTGTTTCAAAACTGCTCTATGAAAAGAAAGGTTCAACTCTGTCAGTAGAGGGCACACATCACAAACAAGTTTCTGAGAATGCTTCTGTCTAGTTGTTATGGGAAGATATTTCCTTTTCCAACATAGGCCTGAAAGCGCTCCAAATGTCCACTTCCAGATACCACAAAAGGAGTGATTCCAACCTGCTCTATGATAGGGAATGTTCAACTCTGTGTCCTGAATACAAACATCACAAAGATGTTTCTCAGAACGCTGCAGTCTGCAATTTGTATGAATTCCAGCTTCCAACGAAATCCTCAAAACTAGCCAAATATCCACTTGCAGATTCCACAAAAAGAGCATTTCAAAACTGCCCTATCAAAAGAAAGGTTCAACTTTGTTAGTAGAGTAGATACAGCATAAACAAGTTTCTGAGAATGCTTCTGTCCAGTTTTTATGGGAAGATATTTCCTTTTTCACCTTAGCCCTGAAAGCGCTCCAAATGTCCACTTCCGGATACTACAAAAGGGGTGTTTCAAGACTGCTCTATGAAAGGGAGTGTTCAACTTTTGACTTGAATGCAAACATCAGAAAGCAGTTTCTCAGAACGCTGCTGTGTGCTTTTTATATGTATTCCCGCTTCCAGCGAAATCCCCAAAGCTAGCCAAATATCCACTTGCAGATTCCAGAAAAAGAGTGTTTCAAAACTGCTCCTTCAAAACGGTGGTTCAATTCTCTTAGTTGAGTACACACATCTCAAATAAGTTTCTGAGAATGCTTCTGTCTAGTTGTTATGGGAAGATATTTCCTTTTCCAACATAGGCCTGAAAGCGCTCCAAATGTCCACTTCCAGATACTACAAAAGGAGTGATTCCAACCTGCTCTATGATAGGGAATGTTCAACTCTGTGTCCTGAATACAAACATCACAAAGATGTTTCTCAGAACGCTGCAGTCTGCAATTTGTATGAATTCCCGCTTCCAACGAAATCCTCAAAACTAGCCAAATATCCACTTGCAGATTCCACAAAAAGAGCGTTTCAAAACTTCTCTATGAAAAGAAAGGTTCTACTCCGTTAGTTGAGGACACACATCACGAGTAAGTTTCTGAGAATGCTTCTGTCTAGTTTTTATGGGAAGATATTTCCTTTTTCACCTTAGGCCGGTAAGTGCTCCAAATGTCCACTTACACACACTACAAAAAGAGTGTTTCAAACCTGCTCTGTGAAAGGGAATGTTCAATTCTGTGACTTGAATGCAATCATCACAAAGAACTTTCTGAGAATGCTGCTGTCTGCTTTTTATATGTAATCCCGTTTCCAACGAAATCCTCAAATCTAGCCCAATATCCACTTGCAGATTCCACAAAAAGAGTGTTTCAAAACTGTTCTGTCTAAAGAAATGTACAACTGTGTTAGTTGAGGACACACATCAGAAACTAGTTTCTGAGAATGCTTCTGTCTAGTTGTTATGGGAAGATATTTCCTTTTCCAACGTAGGCCTGAAAGCGCTCCAAATGTCCACTTCCATATACTAAAAAAAGAGTGTTTCAAACCTGCTCTACCAAAGGGAATGTTCTACTCTGTGACTTGAATGCAAACATCCCAAAGAAGTTTCTGAGAATGCTTCTGTCTAGATTTGATCTGAAGACAATCCCGTTTCCAACGAAATCCTCAAAGCTAGGCAAATATCCTCTTGCAGATTCCAGAAAAAGAGTGTTTCAAAACTGCTCCTTCAAAACGGTGGTTCAATTCTCTTAGTTGAGTACACACATCTCAAATAAGTTTCTGAGAATGCTTCTGCCTAGTTGTTACGGGAAGATATTTCCCTTACCAACATAGGCCTGAAAGCGCTCCAAATGTCCACTTCCAGATACTACAAAAAGAGTGTTTCAAACCTGCTCTACCAAAGGGAATGTTCTACTCTGTGACTTGAATGCAAACATCCCAAAGAAGTTTCTGAGAATGCTTCTGTCTAGATTTTACCTGAAGACAATCCCGTTTCCCACGAAATCCTCAAAGCTATGCAAATATCCTCTTGCAGATTCTACAAAAAGAGTGTTTCAAAACTGCTCTATGAAAAGAAAGGTTCAACTCTGTCAGTAGAGGGCACACATCACAAACAAGTTTCTGAGAATGCTTCTGCATAGTTGTTACGGGAAGATATTTCCCTTTCCAAAATAGGCCTGAAAGCGCTCCAAATGTCCACTTCCAGATACTACAAAAGGAGTGATTCCAACCTGCTCTATGATAGGGAATGTTCAACTCTGTGTCCTGAATACAAACATCACAAAGATGTTTCTCAGAACGCTGCAGTCTGCAATTTGTATGAATTCCCGCTTCCAACGAAATCCTCAAAACTAGCCAAATATCCACTTGCAGATTCCACAAAAAGACCATTTCAAAACTGCTCTATCAAAAGAAAGGTTCAACTTTGTTAGTTGAGTAGATACAGCATAACCAAGTTTCTGAGAATGCTTCTGTCCAGTTTTTATGGGAAGATATTTCCTTTTTCACCTTAGCCCTGAAATCGCTCCAAAAGTCCAGTTCCAGATACTACAAAAGGGGTGTTTCAAGACTGCTCTATGAAAGGGAGTGTTCAACTTTTGACTTGAATGCAAACATCAGAAAGCAGTTTCTCAGAACGCTGCTGTGTGCTTTTTATATGTATTCCCGCTTCCAGCGAAATCCCCAAAGCTAGCCAAATATCCACGTGCAGATTCTACAAAAAGAGAGTTTCAAAACTGCTCCTTCAAAACGGTGGTTCAATTCTCTTAATTGAGTACACACATCTGAAATAAGTTTCTGAGAATGCTTCTGTCTAGTTGTTATGGGAAGATATTTCCTTTTCCAACATAGGCCTGAAAGCGCTCCAAATGTCCACTTCCAGATACTACAAAAGGAGTGATTCAAACCTGCTCTATGATAGGGAATGTTCAACTCTGTGTCCTGAATACAAACATCACAAAGATGTTTCTCAGAACGCTGCAGTCTGCAATTTGTATGAATTCCCGCTTCCAACGAAATCCTCAAAACTAGCCAAATATCCACTTGCAGATTCCACAAAAAGAGCGTTTCAAAACTTCTCTATGAAAAGAAAGGTTCTACTCCTTTAGTTGAGGACACACATCACGAGTAAGTTTCTGAGAATGCTTCTGTCTAGTTTTTATGGGAAGATATTTCCTTTTTCACCTTAGGCCGGAAGGCGCTCCAAATGTCCACTTACACACACTACAAAAAGAGTGTTTCAAACCTGCTCTGTGAAAGGGAATGTTCAATTCTGTGACTTGAATGCAATCATGACAAAGAACTTTCTGAGAATGCTGCTGTCTGCTTTTTATATGTAATCCCGTTTCCAACGAAATCCTCAAATCTAGCCAAATAGCCACTTGCAGATTCCACAAAAAGAGTGTTTCAAACTGTTCTGTCTAAAGAAATGTTCAACTGTGTTAGTTGAGGACACACATCAGAAACTAGTTTCTGAGAATGCTTCTGTCTAGTTGTTATGGGAAGATATTTCCTTTTCCAACGTAGGCCTGAAAGCGATCAAAAAGTCCACTTCCATATACTAAAAAAAGAGTGTTTCAAACCTGCTCTACCAAAGGGAATGTTCTACTCTGTGACTTGAATGCAAACATCCCAAAGAAGTTTCTGAGAATGCTTCTGTCTAGATTTTCTCTGAAGACAATCCCGTTTCCAACGAAATCCTCAAGGCTAGGCAAATATACTCTTGCAGATTCCAGAAAAAGAGTGTTTCAAAACTGCTCCTTCAAAACGGTGGTTCAATTCTCTTAGTTGAGTACACACATCTCAAATAAGTTTCTGAGAATGCTTCTGCCTAGTTGTTACGGGAAGATATTTCCCTTTCCAACATGGGCCTGAAAGCGCTCCAAATGTCCACTTCCAGATACTACAAAAAGAGTGTTTCAAACCTACTCTACCAAAGGGAATGTTCTACTCTGTGACTTGAATGCAAACATCCCAAAGAAGTTTCTGAGAATGCTTCTGTCTAGATTTTACCTGAAGACAATCCCGTTTCCCACGAAATCCTCAAAGCTATGCAAATATCCTCTTGCGGATTCTACAAAAAGAGTGTTTCAAAACTGCTCTATGAAAAGAAAGGTTCAACTCTGTCAGTAGAGGGCACACATCACAAACAAGTTTCTGAGAATGCTTCTGCATAGTTGTTACGGGAAGATATTTCCCTTTCCAAAATAGGCCTGAAAGCGCTCCAAATGTCCACTTCCAGATACTACAAAAGGAGTGATTCCAACCTGCTCTATGATAGGGAATGTTCAACTCTGTGTCCTGAATACAAACATCACAAAGATGTTTCTCAGAACGCTGCAGTCTGCAATTTGTATGAATTCCCGCTTCCAACGAAATCCTCAAAACTAGCCAAATATCCACTTGCAGATTCCACAAAAAGACCATTTCAAAACTGCTCTATCAAAAGAAAGGTTCAACTTTGTTAGTTGAGTAGATACAGCATAACCAAGTTTCTGAGAATGCTTCTGTCCAGTTTTTATGGGAAGATATTTCCTTTTTCAACTTAGCCCTGAAATCGCTCCAAAAGTCCAGTTCCAGATACTACAAAAGGGGTGTTTCAAGACTGCTCTATGAAAGGGAGTGTTCAACTTTTGACTTGAATGCAAACATCAGAAAGCAGTTTCTCAGAACGCTGCTGTGTGCTTTTTATATGTATTCCCGCTTCCAGCGAAATCCCCAAAGCTAGCCAAATATCCACTTGCAGATTCCAGAAAAAGAGTGTTTCAAAACTGCTCCTTCAAAACGGTGGTTCAATTCTCTTAGTTGAGTACACACATCTCAAATAAGTTTCTGAGAATGCTGCTGTGTGCTTTTTATATGTATTCCCGCTTCCAGCGAAATCCCCAAAGCTAGCCAAATATCCACTTGCAGATTCCAGAAAAAGAGGGTTTCAAAACTGCTCCTTCAAAACGGTGGTTCAATTCTCTTAGTTGAGTACACACATCTCAAATAAGTTTCTGAGAATGCTTCTGTCTAGTTGTTATGGGAAGATATTTCCTTTTCCAACATAGGCCTGAAAGCGCTCCAAATGTCCACTTCCAGATACTACAAAAGGAGTGATTCAAACCTGCTCTATGATAGGGAATGTTCAACTCTGTGTCCTGAATACAAACATCACAAAGATGTTTCTCAGAACGCTGCAGTCTGCAATTTGTATGAATTCCCGCTTCCAGCGAAATCCTCAAAACTAGCCAAATATCCACTTGCAGATTCCACAAAAAGAGCATTTCAAAACTGCTCTATCAAAAGAAAGGTTCAACTTTGTTAGTTGAGTAGATACAGCATAAACAAGTTTCTGAGAATGCTTCTGTCCAGTTTTTATGGGAAGATATTTCCTTTTTCACCTTAGCCCTGAAAGCGCTCCAAAAGTCCAGTTCCAGATACTACAAAAGGAGTGTTTCAGGACTGCTCTATGAAAGGGAGTGTTCAACTTTTGACTTGAATGCAAACATCAGAAAGCAGTTTCTCAGAACGCTGCTGTGTGCTTTTTATATGTATTCCCGCTTCCAGCGAAATCCCCAAAGCTAGCCAAATATCCACTTGCAGATTCCAGAAAAAGAGTGTTTCAAAACTGCTCCTTCAAAACGGTGGTTCAATTCTCTTAGTTGAGTACACACATCTCAAATAAGTTTCTGAGAATGCTTCTGTCTAGTTGTTATGGGAAGATATTTCCTTTTCCAACATAGGCCTGAAAGCGCTCCAAATGTCCACTTCCAGATACTACAAAAGGAGTGATTCCAACCTGCTCTATGATAGGGAATGTTCAACTCTGTGTCCTGAATACAAACATCACAAAGATGTTTCTCAGAACGCTGCAGTCTGCAATTTGTATGAATTCCCGCTTCCAACGAAATCCTCCAAACTAGCCAAATATCCACTTGCAGATTCCACAAAAAGAGCGTTTCAAAACTTCTCTATGAAAACAAAGGTTCTACTCCTTTAGTTGAGGACACACATCACGAGTAAGTTTCTGAGAATGCTTCTGTCTAGTTTTTATGGGAAGATATTCCCTTTTTCACCTTAGGCCGGAAAGTGCTCCAAATGTCCACTTACACACACTACAAAAAGAGTGTTTTTGAAACCTGCTCTGTGAAAGGGAATGTTCAATTCTGTGACTTGAATGCAATCATCACAAAGAACTTTCTGAGAATGCTGCTGTCTGTTTTTTATATGTAATCCCGTTTCCAACGAAATCCTCAAATCTAGCAAAATAGCCACTTGCAGATTCCACAAAAAGAGTGTTTCAAAACTGTTCTGTCTAAAGAAATGTTCAACTGTGTTAGTTGAGGACACACATCAGAAACTAGTTTCTGAGAATGCTTCTGTCTAGTTGTTATGGGAAGATATTTCCTTTTCCAACGTAGGCCTGAAAGCGCTCCAAATGTCCACTTCCATATACTAAAAAAAGAGTGTTTCAAACCTGCTCTACCAAAGGGAATGTTCTACTCTGTGACTTGAATGCAAACATCCCAAAGAAGTTTCTGAGAATGCTTCTGTCTAGATTTTATCTGAAGACAATCCCGTTTCCAACGAAATCCTCAAGGCTAGGAAAATATACTCTTGCAGATTCCAGAAAAAGAGTGTTTCAAAACTGCTCCTTCAAAACGGTGGTTCAATTCTCTTAGTTGAGTACACACATCTCAAATAAGTTTCTGAGAATCCTTCTGCCTAGTTGTTACGGGAAGATATTTCCCTTTCCAACATGGGCCTGAAAGCGCTCCAAATGTCCACTTCCAGATACTACAAAAAGAGTGTTTCAAACCTACTCTACCAAAGGGAATGTTCTACTCTGTGACTTGAATGCAAACATCCCAAAGAAGTTTCTGAGAATGCTTCTGTCTAGATTTTACCTGAAGACAATCCCGTTTCCCACGAAATCCTCAAAGCTATGCAAATATCCTCTTGCGGATTCTACAAAAAGAGTGTTTCAAAACTGCTCTATGAAAAGAAAGGTTCAACTCTGTCAGTAGAGGGCACACATCACAAACAAGTTTCTGAGAATGCTTGTGTCTAGTTGTTATGGGAAGATATTTCCTTTTTCAACATAGGCCTGAAAGCGCTCCAAATGTCCACTTCCAGATACTACAAAAGGAGTGATTCCAACATGCTCTATGATAGGGAATGTTCATCTCTGTGTCCTGAATACAAACATCACAAAGATGTTTCTCAGAACGCTGCAGTCTGCAATTTGTATGAATTCCCGCTTCCAACGAAATCCTCCAAACTAGCCAAATATCCACTTGCAGATTCCACAAAAAGAGCGTTTCAAAACTTCTCTATGAAAAGAAAGGTTCTACTCCTTTAGTTGAGGACACACATCACGAGTAAGTTTCTGAGAATGCTTCTGTCTAGTTTTTATGGGAAGATATTTCCTTTTTCACCTTAGGCCGGAAAGTGCTCCAAATGTCCACTTACACACACTACAAAAAGAGTGTTTCAAACCTGTTCTGTGAAAGGGAATGTTCAATTCTGTGACTTGAATGCAATCATCCCAAAGAACTTTCTGAGAATGCTGCTGTCTGCTTTTTATATGTAATCCCGTTTCCAACGAAATCCTCAAATCTAGCCAAATAGCCACTTGCAGATTCCACAAAAAGAGTGTTTCAAAACTGTTCTGTCTAAAGAAATGTTCAACTGTGTTAGTTGAGGACACACATCAGAAACTAGTTTCTGAGAATGCTTCTGTCTAGTTGTTATGGGAAGATATTTCCTTTTCCAACGTAGGCCTGAAAGCGCTCCAAATGTCCACTTCCATATACTAAAAAAAGAGTGTTTCAAACCTGCTCTACCAAAGGGAATGTTCTACTCTGTGACATGAATGCAAACATCCCAAAGAAGTTTCTGAGAATGCTTCTGTCTAGATTTGATCTGAAGACAATCCCGTTTCCAACGAAATCCTCAAGGCTAGGCAAATATCCTCTTGCAGATTCCAGAAAAAGAGTGTTTCAAAACTGCTCCTTCAAAACGGTGGTTCAATTCTCTTAGTTGAGTACACACATCTCAAATAAGTTTCTGAGAATGCTTCTGCCTAGTTGTTACGGGAAGATATTTCCCTTTCCAACATAGGCCTGAAAGCGCTCCAAATGTCCACTTCCAGATACTACAAAAAGAGTGTTTCAAACCTGCTCTACCAAAGGGAATGTTCTGCTCTGTGACTTGAATGGAAACATCCCAAAGAAGTTTCTGAGAATGCTTCTGTCTAGATTTTACCTGAAGACAATCCCGTTTCCCACGAAATCCTCAAAGCTATGCAAATATCCTCTTGCAGATTCTACAAAAAGAGTGTTTCAAAACTGCTCTATGAAAAGAAAGGTTCAACTCTGTCAGTAGAGGGCACACATCACAAACAAGTTTCTGAGAATGCTTGTGTCTAGTTGTTATGGGAAGATATTTCCTTTTTCAACATAGGCCTGAAAGCGCTCCAAATGTCCACTTCCAGATACTACAAAAGGAGTGATTCCAACCTGCTCTATGATAGGGAATGTTCAACTCTCTGTCCTGAATACAAACATCACAAAGATGTTTCTCAGAACGCTGCAGTCTGCAATTTGTATGAATTCCGGCTTCCAACGAAAATCCTCAAAACTAGCCAAATATCCACTTGCAGATTCCACAAAAAGAGCATTTCAAAACTGCTCTATCAAAAGAAAGGTTCAACTTTGTTAGTTGAGTAGATACAGCATAAACAAGTTTCTGAGAATGCTTCTGTCCAGTTTTTATGGGAAGATATTTCCTTTTTCACCTTAGCCCTGAAAGCGCTCCAAAAGTCCAGTTCCAGATACTACAAAAGGAGTGTTTCAGGACTGCTCTATGAAAGGGAGTGTTCAACTTTTGACTTGAATGCAAACATCAGAAAGCAGTTTCTCAGAACGCTGCTGTGTGCTTTTTATATGTATTCCCGCTTCCAGCGAAATCCCCAAATCTAGCCAAATATCCACTTGCAGATTCCAGAAAAAGAGTGTTTCAAAACTGCTCCTTCAAAACGGTGGTTCAATTCTCTTAGTTGAGTACACACATCTCAAATAAGTTTCTGAGAATGCTTCTGTCTAGTTGTTATGGGAAGATATTTCCTTTTCCAACATAGGCCTGAAAGCGCTCCAAATGTCCACTTCCAGATACTACAAAAGGAGTGATTCAAACCTGCTCTATGATAGGGAATGTTCAACTCTGTGTCCTGAATACAAACATCACAAAGATGTTTCTCAGAACGCTGCAGTCTGCAATTTGTATGAATTCCCGCTTCCAACGAAATCCTCCAAACTAGCCAAATATCCACTTGCAGATTCCACAAAAAGAGCGTTTCAAAACTTCTCTATGAAAAGAAAGGTTCTACTCCTTTAGTTGAGGACACACATCACGAGTAAGTTTCTGAGAATGCTTCTGTCTAGTTTTTATGGGAAGATATTTCCTTTTTCACCTTAGGCCGGTAAGTGCTCCAAATGTCCACTTACACACACTACAAAAAGAGTGTTTCAAACCTGCTCTGTGAAAGGGAATGTTCAATTCTGTGACTTGAATGCAATCATCACAAAGAACTTTCTGAGAATGCTGCTGACTGCTTTTTATATGTAATCCCGTTTCCAACGAAATCCTCAAATCTAGCCAAATAGCCACTTGCAGATTCCACAAAAAGAGTGTTTCAAAACTGTTCTGTCTAAAGAAAAGTTCAACTGTGTTAGTTGAGGACACACATCAGAAACTAGTTTCTGAGAATGCTTCTGTCTAGTTGTTATGGGAAGATATTTCCTTTTCCAACGTAGGCCTGAAAGCGCTCCAAATGTCCATTTCCATATACTAAAAAAAGAGTGTTTCAAACCTGCTCTACCAAAGGGAATGTTCTACTCTGTGACTTGAATACAAACATCCCAAAGAAGTTTCTGAGAATGCTTCTGTCTAGATTTTATCTGAAGACAATCCCGTTTCCAACGAAATCCTCAAGGCTAGGCAAATATCGTCTAGCAGATTCCAGAAAAAGAGTGTTTCAAAACTGCTCCTTCAAAACGGTGGTTCAATTCTCTTAGTTGCGTACACACATCTCAAAAAAGTTTCAGAGAATGCTTCTGCCTAGTTGTTACGGGAAGATATTTCCCTTTCCAACATGGGCCTGAAAGTGCTCCAAATGTCCACTTCCAGATACTACAAAAAGAGTGTTTCAAACCTGCTCTACCAAAGGGAATGTTCTACTCTGTGACTTGAATGCAAACATCCCAAAGAAGTTTCTGAGAATGCTTCTGTCTAGATTTTACCTGAAGACAATCCCGTTTCCCACGGAATCCTCAAAGCTATGCAAATATCCTCTTGCAGATTCTACAAAAAGAGTGTTTCAAAACTGCTCTATGAAAAGAAAGGTTCAACTCTGTCAGTAGAGGGCACACATCGCAAACAAGTTTCTTAGAATGCTTGTGTCTAGTTGTTATGGGAAGATATTTCCTTTTTCAACATAGGCCTGAAAGCGCTCCAAATGTCCACTTCCAGATACTACAAAAGGAGTGATTCCAACCTGCTCTATGATAGGGAATGTTCATCTCTGTGTCCTGAATACAAACATCACAAAGATGTTTCTCAGAACGCTGCAGTCTGCAATTTGTATGAATTCCCGCTTCCAAAGAAATCCTCAAAACTAACCAAATATCCACTTGCAGACTCCACAAAAAGAGCATTTCAAAACTGCTCTATCAAAAGAAAGGTTCAACTTTGTTAGCTGAGTAGATACAGCATAAACAAGTTTCTGAGAATGCTTCTGTCCAGTTTTTATGGGAAGATATTTCCTTTTTCACCTTAGCCCTGAAAGCACTCCAAATGTCCACTTCCAGATACCACAAAAGGGGAGTTTCAAGACTGCTCTATGAAAGGGAGTGTTCAACTTTTGACTTGAATGCGAACATCAGAAAGAAGTTTCTCAGAACGCTGCTGTGTGCTTTTTATATGTATTCCCGCTTCCAGCGAAATCCCCAAAGCTAGCCAGATATCCACTTGCAGATTCCAGAAAAAGAGTGTTTCAAAACTGCTCCTTCAAAACGGTGGTTCAATTCTCTTAGTTGAGTACACACATCTCAAATAAGTTTCTGAGAATGCTTGTGTCTAGTTGTTATGGGAAGATATTTCCTTTTTCAACATAGGCCTGAAAGCGCTCCAAATGTCCACTTCCAGATACTACAAAAGGAGTGATTCCATCATGCTCTATGATAGGGAATGTTCATCTCTGTGTCTTGAATACAAACATCACAAAGATGTTTCTCAGAACGCTGCAGTCTGCAATTTGTATGAATTCCCGCTTCCAACGAAATCCTCAAAACTAACCAAATATCCACTTGGAGATTCCACAAAAAGAGCGTTTCAAAACTTCTCTATGAATAGAAAGGTTCTACTCCTTTAGTTGAGGACACACATCACGAGTAAGTTTCTGAGAATGCTTCTGTCTAGTTTTTATGGGAAGATATGTCCTTTTTCACCTTAGGCCGGAAAGCGCTCCAAATGTCCACTTACACACACTACAAAAAGAGTGTTTCAAACCTGCTCTATGAAAGGGAATGTTCAATTCTGTGACTTGAATGCAATCATCACAAAGAACTTTCTGAGAATGCTGCTGACTGCTTTTTATATGTAATCCCGTTTCCAACGAAATCCTCAAATCTAGCCCAATATCCACTTGCAGATTCCACAAAAAGAGTGTTTCAAAACTGTTCTGTACAAAGAAATGTACAACTGTGTTAGTTGAGGACACACATCAGAAACTAGTTTCTGAGAATGCTTTCTGTCTAGTTGTTATGGGAAGATATTTCCTTTTCCAACGTAGGCCTGAAAGCGCTCCAAATGTCCACTTCCATATACTAAAAAAAGAGTGTTTCAAACCTGCTCTACCAAAGGGAATGTTCTACTCTGTGACTTGAATGCAAACATCCCAAAGAAGTTTCTGAGAATGCTTCTGTCTAGATTTGATCTGAAGACAATCCCGTTTCCAACGAAATCCTCAAGGCTAGGCAAATATCCTCTTGCAGATTCCAGAAAAAGAGTGTTTCAAAACTGCTCCTTCAAAACGATGGTTCAATTCTCTTAGTTGAGTACACACATCTCAAATAAGTTTCTGAGAATGCTTCTGCCTAGTTGTTACGGGAAGATATTTCCCTTTCCAACATAGGCCTGAAAGCGCTCCAAATGTCCACTTCCAGATACTACAAAAAGAGTGTTTCAAACCTGCTCTACCAAAGGGAATGTTCTGCTCTGTGACTTGAATGCAAACATCCCAAAGAAGTTTCTGAGAATGCTTCTGTCTAGATTTTACCTGAAGACAATCCCGTTTCCCACGAAATCCTCAAAGCTATGCAAATATCCTCTTCCAGATTCTACAAAAAGAGTGTTTCAAAACTGCTCTATGAAAAGAAAGGTTCAAATCTGTCAGTAGAGGGCACACATCACAAACAAGTTTACTGAGAATGCTTCTGTCTAGTTGTTATGGGAAGATATTTCCTTTTCCAACATAGGCCTGAAAGCGCTCCAAATGTCCACTTCCAGATACTACAAAAGGAGTGATTCCAACCTGCTCTATGATAGGGATTGTTCAACTCTGTGTCCTGAATACAAACATCACAAAGATGTTTCTCAGAACGCTGCAGTCTGCAATTTGTATGAATTCCCGCTTCCAACGAAATCCTCAAAACTAGCCAAATATCCACTTGCAGATTCCACAAAAAGACCATTTCAAAACTGCTCTATCAAAAGAAAGGTTCAACTTTGTTAGTTGAGTAGTTACAGCATAAACAAGTTTCTGAGAATGCTTCTGTCCAGTTTTTATGGGAAGATATTTCCTTTTTCACCTTAGCCCTGAAATCGCTCCAAAAGTCCAGTTCCAGATACTACAAAAGGGGTGTTTCAAGACTGCTCTATGAAAGGGAGTGTTCAACTTTTGACTTGAATGCAAACATCAGAAAGCAGTTTCTCAGAACGCTGCTGTCTGCTTTGTATATGTAATCCCGTTTCCAACGAAATCCTCAAATCTAGCTAAATATCCACTTGCAGATTCCAGAAAAAGAGTGTTTCAAAACTGCTCCTTCAAAACGGTGGTTCAATTCTCTTAGTTGAGTACACACATCTCAAATAAGTTTCTGAGAATGCTTCTGTCTAGTTGTTATGGGAAGATATTTCCTTTTCCAACATAGGCCTGAAAGCGCTCCAAATGTCCACTTCCAGATACTACAAAAGGAGTGATTCCAACCTGCTCTATGATAGGGAATGTTCAACTCTGTGTCCTGAATACAAACATCACAAAGATGTTTCTCAGAACGCTGCAGTCTGCAATTTGTATGAATTCCCGCTTCCAACGAAATCCTCAAAACTAGCCAAATATCCACTTGCAGATTCCACAAAAAGAGCGTTTCAAAACTTCTCTATGAAAAGAAAGGTTCTACTCCTTTAGTTGAGGACACACATCACGAGTAAGTTTCTGAGAATGCTTCTGTCTAGTTTTTATGGGAAGATTATTTCCTTTTTCACCTTAGGCCGGTAAGTGCTCCAAATGTCCACTTACACACACTACAAAAAGAGTGTTTCAAACCTGCTCTGTGAAAGGGAATGTTCAATTCTGTGACTTGAATGCAATCATCACAAAGAACTTTCTGAGAATGCTGCTGACTGCTTTTTATATGTAATCCCGTTTCCAACGAAATCCTCAAATCTAGCCAAATAGCCACTTGCAGATTCCACAAAAAGAGTGTTTCAAAACTGTTCTGTCTAAAGAAATGTTCAACTGTGTTAGTTGAGGACACACATCAGAAACTAGTTTCTGAGAATGCTTCTGTCTAGTTGTTATGGGAAGATATTTCCTTTTCCAACGTAGGCCTGAAAGCGCTCCAAATGTCCACTTCCAGATACTACAAAAAGAGTGTTTCAAACCTGCTCTACCAAAGGGAATGTTCTACTCTGTGACTTGAATGCAAGCATCCCAAAGAAGTTTCTGAGAATGCTTCTGTCTAGATTTGATCTGAAGACAATCCCGTTTCCAACGAAATCCTCAAGGCTAGGCAAATATCCTCTTGCAGATTCCAGAAAAAGAGTGTTTCAAAACTGCTCCTTCAAAACAGTGGTTCAATTCTCTTAGTTGAGTATACACATCTCAAATAAGTTTCTGAGAATGCTTCTGCCTAGTTGTTACGGGAAGATATTTCCCTTTCCAACATGGGCCTGAAAGCCCTAAAAATGTCCACTTCCAGATACTACAAAAAGAGTGTTTGAAACCAGCTCTACCAAAGGGAATGTTCTACTCTGTGACTTGAATGCAAACATCCCAAAGAAGTTTCTGAGAATGCTTCTGTCTAGATTTTACCTGAAGACAATCCCGTTTCCCACGAAATCCTCAAAGCTATGCAAATATCCTCTTGCAGATTCTACAAAAAGAGTGTTTCAAAACTGCTCTATGAAAAGAAAGGTTCAACTCTGTCAGTAGAGGGCACACATCACAAACAAGTTTCTGAGAATGCTGTGTCTAGTTGTTATGGGAAGATATTTCCTTTTTCAACATAGGCCTGAAAGCGCTCCAAATGTCCACTTCCAGATACTACAAAAGGAGTGATTCCAACCTGCTCTATGATAGGGAATGTTCAACTCTGTGTCCTGAATACAAACATCACAAAGATGTTTCTCAGAACGCTGGCAGTCTGCAATTTGTATGAATTCCCGCTTCCAACGAAATCCTCAAACCTAGCCAAATATCCACTTGCAGATTCCACAAAAAGAGCATTTCAAAACTGCTCTATCAAAAGAAAGGTTCAACTTTGTTAGTTGAGTAGATACAGCATAAACAAGTTTCTGAGAATGCTTCTGTCCAGTTTTTATGGGAAGATATTTCCTTTTTCACCTTAGCCCTGAAAGCGCTCCAAATGTCCAGTTCCAGATACTACAAAAGGGGTGTTTCAAGACTGCTCTATGAAAGGGAGTGTTCAACTTTTGACTTGAATGCAAACATCAGAAAGCAGTTTCTCAGAACGCTGCTGTGTGCTTTTTATATGTATTCCCGCTTCCAGCGAAATCCCCAAAGCTAGCCAAATATCCACTTGCAGATTCCAGAAAAAGAGTGTTTCAAAACTGCTCCTTCAAAACGGTGGTTCAATTCTCTTAGTTGAGTACACACATCTCAAATAAGTTTCTGAGAATGCTTCTGTCTAGTTGTTATGGGAAGATATTTCCTTTTCCAACATAGGCCTGAAAGCGCTCCAAATGTCCACTTCCAGATACTACAAAAGGAGTGATTCAAACCTGCTCTATGATAGGGAATGTTCAACTCTGTGTCCTGAATACAAACATCACAACGATGTTTCTCAGAACGCTGCAGTCTGCAATTTGTATGAATTCCCGCTTCCAACGAAATCCTCAAAACTAGCCAAATATCCACTTGGAGATTCCACAAAAAGAGCGTTTCAAAACTTCTCTATGAATAGAAAGGTTCTACTCCTTTAGTTGAGGACACACATCACGAGTAAGTTTCTGAGAATGCTTCTGTCTAGTTTTTATGGGAAGATATGTCCTTTTTCACCTTAGGCCGGAAAGCGCTCCAAATGTCCACTTACACACACTACAAAAAGAGTGTTTCAAACCTGCTCTGGAAAGGGAATGTTCAATTCTGTGACTTGAATGCAATCATCACAAAGAACTTTCTGAGAATGCTGCTGACTGCTTTTTATATGTAATCCCGTTTCCAACGAAATCCTCAAATCTAGCCAAATATCCATTTGCAGATTCCACAAAAAGAGTGTTTCAAAAGTGTTCTGTCTAAAGAAAAGTTCAACTGTGTTAGTTGAGGACACTCATCAGAAACTAGTTTCTGAGAATGCTTCTGTCTAGTTGTTATGGGAAGATATTTCCTTTTCCAACGTAGGCCTGAAAGCGCTCCAAATGTCCACTTCCATATACTAAAAAAAGAGTGTTTCAAACCTGCTCTACCAAAGGGAATGTTCTACTCTGTGACTTGAATGCAAACATCCCAAAGAAGTTTCTGAGAATGCTTCTGTCTAGATTTTATCTGAAGACAATCCCGTTTCCAACGAAATCCTCAAGGCTAGGCAAATATACTCTTGCAGATTCCAGAAAAAGAGGGTTTCAAAACTGCTCCTTCAAAACGGTGGTTCAATTCTCTTAGTTGAGTCCACACATCTCAAATAAGTTTCTGAGAATGCTTCTGCCTAGTTGTTACGGGAAGATATTTCCCTTTCCAACATGGGTCTGAAAGCGCTCCAAATGTCCACTTCCAGATACTACAAAAAGAGTGTTTCAAACCTGCTCTACCAAAGGGAATGTTCTACTCTGTGACTTGAATGCAAACATCCCAAAGAAGTTTCTGAGAATGCTTCTGTCTAGATTTTACCTGAAGACAATCCCGTTTCCCACGAAATCCTCAAAGCTATGCAAATATCCTCTTGCAGATTCTACAAAAAGAGTGTTTCAAAACTGCTCTATGAAAAGAAAGGTTCAACTCTGTCAGTAGAGGGCACACATCACAAACAAGTTTCTGAGAATGCTTCTGCATAGTTGTTATGGGAAGATATTTCCCTTTCCAAAATAGGCCTGAAAGCGCTCCAAATGTCCACTTCCAGATACTACAAAAGGAGTGATTCCAACCTGCTCTAGGACAGGGAATGTTCAACTCTGTTTCCTGAATAAAAACATCACAAAGATGTTTCTCAGAACGCTGCAGTCTGCAATTTGTATGAATTCCCGCTTCCAACGAAATCCTCAAAACTAGCCAAATATCCACTTGCAGATTCCACAAAAAGACCATTTCAAAACTGCTCTATCAAAAGAAAGGTTCAACTTTGTTAGTTGAGTAGATACAGCATAAACAAGTTTCTGAGAATGCTTCTGTCCAGTTTTTATGGGAAGATATTTCCTTTTTCACCTTAGCCCTGAAAGCGCTCCAAAAGTCCAGTTCCAGATACTACAAAAGGAGTGTTTCAGGACTGCTCTATGAAAGGGAGTGTTCAACTTTTGACTTGAATGCAAACATCAGAAAGCAGTTTCTCAGAACGCTGCTGTGTGCTTTTTATATGTATTCCCGCTTCCAGCGAAATACCCAAAGCTAGCCAAATATCCACTTGCAGATTCCAGAAAAAGAGTGTTTCAAAACTGCTCCTTCAAAACGGTGGTTCAATTCTCTTAGTTGAGTACACACATCTCAAATAAGTTTCTGAGAATGCTTGTGTCTAGTTGTTATGGGAAGATATTTCCTTTTTCAACATAGGCCTGAAAGCGCTCCAAATGTCCACTTCCAGATACTACAAAAGGAGTGATTCCAACATGCTCTATGATAGGGAATGTTCATCTCTGTGTCCTGAATACAAACATCACAAAGATGTTTCTCAGAACGCTGCAGTCTGCAATTTGTATGAATTCCCGCTTCCAACGAAATCCTCAAAACTAGCCAAATATCCACTTGGAGATTCCACAAAAAGAGCGTTTCAAAACTTCTCTATGAATAGAAAGGTTGTACTCCTTTAGTTGAGGAAACACATCACGAGTAAGTTTCTGAGGATGCTTCTGTCTAGTTTTTATGGGAAGATATTTCCTTTTTCACCTTAGGCCGGAAAGCGCTCCAAATGTCCACTTACACACACTACAAAAAGAGTGTTTCAAACCTGCTCTGTGAAAGGGAATGTTCAATTCTGTGACTTGAATGCAATCATCCCATATAACTTTCTGAGAATGCTGCTGTCTGCTTTTTATATGTAATCCCGTTTCCAACGAAATCCTCAAATCTAGCCAAATATCCACTTGCAGATTCCACAAAAAGAGTGTTTCAAAACTGTTCTGTCTAAAGAAAAGTTCAACTGTGTTAGCTGAGGACACACATCAGAAACTAGTTTCTGAGAATGCTTCTGTCTAGTTGTTATGGGAAGATATTTCCTTTTCCAACGTAGGCCTGAAAGCGCTCCAAATGTCCACTTCCATATACGAAAAAAAGAGTGTTTCAAACCTGCTCTACCAAAGGGAATATTCTACTCTGTGACTTGAATGCAAACATCCCAAAGAAGTTTCTGAGAATGCCTCTGTCTAGATTTTATCTGAAGACAATCCCGTTTCCAACGAAATCCTCAAGGCTAGGCAAATATCCTCTTGCAGATTCCAGAAAAAGAGTGTTTCAAAACTGCTCCTTCAAAACGGTGGTTCAATTCTCTTAGTTGAGTACACACATCTCAAATAAGTTTCTGAGAATGCTTCTGCCTAGTTGTTACGGGAAGATATTTCCCTTTCCAACATAGGCCTGAAAGCACTCCAAATGTCCACTTCCAGATACTACAAAAAGAGTGTTTCAAACCTGCTCTACCAAAGGGAATGTTCTGCTCTGTGACTTGAATGCAAACATCACGAAGAAGTTTCTGAGAATGCTTCTGTCTAGATTTTACCTGAAGACAATCCCGTTTCCCACGAAATCCTCAAAGCTATGCAAATATCCTCTTGCAGATTCTACAAAAAGAGTGTTTCAAAACTGCTCTATGAAAAGAAAGGTTCAACTCTGTCAGTAGAGGGCACACATCACAAACAAGTTTCTGAGAATGCTTCTGCATAGTTGTTACGGGAAGATATTTCCCTTTCCAAAATAGGCCTGAAAGCGCTCCAAATGTCCACTTCCAGATACTACAAAAGGAGTGATTCCAACCTGCTCTATGATAGGGAATGTTCAACTCTGTGTCCTGAATACAAACATCACAAAGATGTTTCTCAGAACGCTGCAGTCTGCAATTTGTATGAATTCCCGCTTCCAACGAAATCCTCAAAACTAGCCAAATATCCACTTGCAGATTCCACAAAAAGACCATTTCAAAACTGCTCTATCAAAAGAAAGGTTCAACTTTGTTAGTTGAGTAGATACAGCATAAACAAGTTTCTGAGAATGCTTCTGTCCAGTTTTTATGGGAAGATATTTCCTTTTTCACCTTAGCCCTGAAATCGCTCCAAAAGTCCAGTTCCAGATACTACAAAACGGGTGTTTCAAGACTGCTCTATGAAAGGGAGTGTTCAACTTTTGACTTGAATGCAAACATCAGAAAGCAGTTTCTCAGAACGGCTGCTGTGTGCTTTTTATATGTATTCCCGCTTCCAGCGAAATCCCCAAAGCTAGCCAAATATCCACTTGCAGATTCCAGAAAAAGAGAGTTTCAAAACTGCTCCTTCAAAACGGTGGTTCAATTCTCTTAGTTGAGTACACACATCTCAAATAAGTTTCTGAGAATGCTTCTGTCTAGTTGTTATGGGAAGATATTTCCTTTTCCAACATAGGCCTGAAAGCGCTCCAAATGTCCACTTCCAGATACTACAAAAGGAGTGATTCCAACCTGCTCTATGATAGGGAATGTTCAACTCTGTGTCCTGAATACAAACATCACAAAGATGTTTCTCAGAACGCTGCAGTCTGCAATTTGTATGAATTCCCGCTTCCAACGAAATCCTCAAAACTAGCCAAATATCCACTTGCAGATTCCACAAAAAGAGCGTTTCAAAACTTCTCTATGAAAAGAAAGGTTCTACTCCTTTAGTTGAGGACACACATCACGAGTAAGTTTCTGAGAATGCTTCTGTCTAGTTTTTATGGGAAGATATTTCCTTTTTCACCTTAGGCCGGAAAGTGCTCCAAATGTCCACTTACACACACTACAAAAAGAGTGTTTCAAACCTGCTCTGTGAAAGGGAATGTTCAATTCTGTGACTTGAATGCAATCATCACAAAGAACTTTCTGAGAATGCTGCTGTCTGCTTTTTATATGTAATCCCGTTTCCAACGAAATCCTCAAATCTAGCCAAATAGCCACTTGCAGATTCCACAAAAAGAGTGTTTCAAAACTGTTCTGTCTAAAGAAATGCTCAACTGTGTTAGTTGAGGACACACATCAGAAACTAGTTTCTGAGAATGCTTCTGTCTAGTTGTTATGGGAAGATATTTCATTTTCCAACGTAGGCCTGAAAGCGCTCCAAATGTCCACTTCCATATACTAAAAAAAGAGTGTTTCAAACCTGCTCTACCAAAGGGAATGTTCTACTCTGTGACTTGAATGCAAACATCCCAAAGAAGTTTCTGAGAATGCTTCTGTCTAGATTTGATCTGAAGACAATCCCGTTTCCAACGAAATCCTCAAGGCTAGGCAAATATCCTCTTGCAGATTCCAGAAAAAGAGTGTTTCAAAACTGCTCCTTCAAAACGGTGGTTCAATTCTCTTAGTTGAGTACACACATCTCAAATAAGTTTCTGAGAATGCTTCTGCCTAGTTGTTACGGGAAGATATTTCCCTTTCCAACATAGGCCTGAAAGCGCTCCAAATGTCCACTTCCAGATACTACAAAAAGAGTGTTTCAAACCTGCTCTACCAAAGGGAATGTTCTACTCTGTGACTTGAATGCAAACATCCCAAAGAAGTTTCTGAGAATGCTTCTGTCTAGATTTTACCTGAAGACAATCCCGTTTCCCACGAAATCCTCAAAGCTATGCAAATATCCTCTTGCAGATTCTACAAAAAGAGTGTTTCAAAACTGCTCTATGAAAAGAAAGGTTCAACTCTGTCAGTAGAGGGCACACATCACAAACAAGTTTCTGAGAATGCTTGTGTCTAGTTGTTATGGGAAGATATTTCCTTTTTCAACATAGGCCAGAAAGCGCTCCAAATGTCCACTTCCAGATACTACAAAAGGAGTGATTCCAACCTGCTCTATGATAGGGAATGTTCAACTCTCTGTCCTGAATACAAACATCACAAAGATGTTTCTCAGAACGCTGCAGTCTGCAATTTGTATGAATTCCCGCTTCCAACGAAATCCTCAAAACTAGCCAAATATCCACTTGCAGATTCCACAAAAAGACCATTTCAAAACTGCTCTATCAAAAGAAAGGTTCAACTTTGTTAGTTGAGTAGATACAGCATAAACAAGTTTCTGAGAATGCTTCTGTCCAGTTTTTATGGGAAGATATTTCCTTTTTCACCTTAGCCCTGAAAGCGCTCCAAAAGTCCAGTTCCAGATACTACAAAAGGGGTGTTTCAAGACTGCTCTATGAAAGGGAGTGTTCAACTTTTGACTTGAATGCAAACATCAGAAAGCAGTTTCTCAGAACGCTGCTGTGTGCTTTTTATATGTATTCCCGCTTCCAGCGAAATCCCCAAAGCTAGCCAAATATCCACTTGCAGATTCCAGAAAAAGAGAGTTTCAAAACTGCTCCTTCAAAACGGTGGTTCAATTCTCTTAGTTGAGTACACACATCTCAAATAAGTTTCTGAGAATGCTTGTGTCTAGTTGTTGTGGGAAGATATTTCCTTTTTCAACATAGGACTGAAAGCGCTCCAAATGTCCACTTCCAGATACTACAAAAGGAGTGATTCCAACCTACTCTATGATAGGGAATGTTCATCTCTGTGTCCTGAATACAAACATCACAAAGATGATTCTCAGAACGCTGCAGTCTGCAATTTGTATGAATTCCCGCTTCCAACGAAATCCTCAAAACTAGCCAAATATCCACTTGGAGATTCCACAAAAAGAGCGTTTCAAAACTTCTCTATGAATAGAAATGTTCTACTCCTTTAGTTGAGGACACACATCACGAGTAAGTTTCTGAGAATGCTTCTGTCTAGTTTTTATGGGAAGATATTTCCTTTTTCACCTTAGGCCGGAAAGCGCTCCAAATGTCCACTTACACACACTACAAAAAGAGGATTTCAAACCTGCTCTGTGAAAGGGAATGTTCAATTCTGTGACTTGAATGCAATCATCACAAAGAACTTTCTGAGAATGCTGCTGTCTGCTTTTTATATGTAATCCCGTTTCCAACGAAATCCTCAAATCTAGCCAAATATCCACTTGCAGATTCCACAAAAAGAGTGTTTCAAAACTGTTCTGTCTAAAGAAAAGTTCAACTGTGTTAGTTGAGGACACACATCAGAAACTAGTTTCTGAGAATGCTTCTGTCTAGTTGTTACGGGAAGATATTTCCTTTTCCAACGTAGGCCTGAAAGCGCTCCAAATGTCCATTTCCATATACTAAAAAAAGAGTGTTTCAAACCTGCTCTATCAAAGGGAATGTTCTACTCTGTGACTTGAATACAAACATCCCAATGAAGTTTCTGAGAATGCTTCTGTCTAGATTTTATCTGAAGACAATCCCGTTTCCAACGAAATCCTCAAGGCTAGGCAAATATCGTCTAGCAGATTCCAGAAAAAGAGTGTTTCAAAACTGCTCCTTCAAAACGGTGGTTCAATTCTCTTAGTTGAGTACACACATCTCAAAAAAGTTTCAGAGAATGCTTCTGCCTAGTTGTTACGGGAAGATATTTCCCTTTCCAACATGGGCCTGAAAGTGCTCCAAATGTCCACTTCCAGATACTACAAAAAGAGTGTTTCAAACCTGCTCTACCAAAGGGAATGTTCTACTCTGTGACTTGAATGCAAACATCCCAAAGAAGTTTCTGAGAATGCTTCTGTCTAGATTTTACCTGAAGACAATCCCGTTTCCCCCGAAATCCTCAAAGCTATGCAAATATCCTCTTGCGGATTCTACAAAAAGAGTGTTTCAAAACTGCTCTATGAAAAGAAAGGTTCAACTCTGTCAGTAGAGGGCACACATCACAAACAAGTTTCTGAGAATGCTTGTGTCTAGTTGTTATGGGAAGATATTTCCTTTTTCAACATAGGACTGAAAGCGCTCCAAATGTCCACTTCCAGATACTACAAAAGGAGTGATTCCAACATGCTCTATGATAGGGAATGTTCATCTCTGTGTCTTGAATACAAACATCACAAAGATGTTTCTCAGAACGCTGCAGTCTGCAATTTGTATGAATTCCCGCTTCCAACGAAATCCTCAAAACTAGCCAAATATCCACTTGGAGATTCCACAAAAAGAGCGTTTCAAAACTTCTCTATGAATAGAAAGGTTCTACTCCTTTAGTTGAGGACACACATCACGAGTAAGTTTCTGAGAATGCTTCTGTCTAGTTTTTATGGGAAGATATGTCCTTTTTCACCTTAGGCCGGAAAGCGCTCCAAATGTCCAAATACACACACTACAAAAAGAGTGTTTCAAACCTGCTCTGTGAAAGGGAATGTTCAATTCTGTGACTTGAATGCAATCATCACAAAGAACTTTCTGAGAATGCTGCTGACTGCTTTTTATATGTAATCCCGTTTCCAACGAAATCCTCAAATCTAGCCCAATATCCACTTGTAGATTCCACAAAAAGAGTGTTTCAAAACTGTTCTGTCTAAAGAAAAGTTCAACTGTGTTAGTTGAGGACACACATCAGAAAATAGTTTCTGAGAATGCTTCTGTCTAGTTGTTATGGGAAGATATTTCCTTTTCCAACGTAGGCCTGAAAGCGCTCCAAATGTCCACTTCCATATACTAAAAAAAGAGTGTTTCAAACCTGCTCTACCAAAGGGAATGTTCTACTCTGTGACTTGAATGCAAACATCCCAAAGAAGTTTCTGAGAATGCTTCTGTCTAGATTTGATCTGAAGACAATCCCGTTTCCAACGAAATCCTCAAGGCTAGGCAAATATCCTCTTGCAGATTCCAGAAAAAGAGTGTTTCAAAACTGCTCCTTCAAAAGGGTGGTTCAATTCTCTTAGTTGAGTACACACATCTCAAATAAGTTTCTGAGAATGCTTCTGCCTAGTTGTTACGGGAAGATATTTCCCTTTCCAACATAGGCCTGAAAGCGCTCCAAATGTCCACTTCCAGATACTACAAAAAGAGTGTTTCAAACCTGCTCTACCAAAGGGAATGTTCTACTCTGTGACTTGAATGCAAACATCCCAAAGAAGTTTCTGAGAATGCTTCTGTCTAGATTTTACCTGAAGACAATCCCGTTTCCCACGAAATCCTCAAAGCTATGCAAATATCCTCTTGCAGATTCTACAAAAAGAGTGTTTCAAAACTGCTCTATGAAAAGAAAGGTTCAACTCTGTCAGTAGAGGGCACACATCACAAACAAGTTTCTGAGAATGCTTGTGTCTAGTTGTTATGGGAAGATATTTCCTTTTTCAACATAGGCCTGAAAGCGCTCCAAATGTCCACTTCCAGATACTACAAAAGGAGTGATTCCAACCTGCTCTATGATAGGGAATGTTCATCTCTGTGTCCTGAATACAAACATCACAAAGATGTTTCTCAGAACGCTGCAGTCTGCAATTTGTATGAATTCCCGCTTCCAACGAAATCCTCAAAACTAGCCAAATATCCACTTGCAGATTCCACAAAAAGACCATTTCAAAACTGCTCTATCAAAAGAAAGGTTCAACTTTGTTAGTTGAGTAGATACAGCATAAACAAGTTTCTGAGAATGCTTCTGTCCAGTTTTTATGGGAAGATATTTCCTTTTTCACCTTAGCCCTGAAATCGCTCCAAAAGTCCAGTTCCAGATACTACAAAAGGGGTGTTTCAGGACTGCTCTATGAAAGGGAGTGTTCAACTTTTGACTTGAATGCAAACATCAGAAAGCAGTTTCTCAGAACGCTGCTGTGTGCTTTTTATATGTATTCCCGCTTCCAGCGAAATCCCCAAAGCTAGCCAAATATCCACTTGCAGATTCCAGAAAAAGAGAGTTTCAAAACTGCTCCTTCAAAACGGTGGTTCAATTCTCTTAGTTGAGTACACACATCTCAAATAAGTTTCTGAGAATGCTTGTGTCTAGTTGTTATGGGAAGATATTTCCTTTTTCAACATAGGCCTGAAAGCGCTCCAAATGTCCACTTCCAGATACTACAAAAGGAGTGATTCCAACCTGCTCTATGATAGGGAATGTTCATCTCTGTGTCCTGAATACAAACATCACAAAGATGTTTCTCAGAACGCTTGCAGTCTGCAATTTGTATGAATTCCCGCATCCAACGAAATCCTCAAAACTAGCCAAATATCCACTTGGAGATTCCACAAAAAGAGCGTTTCAAACCTTCTCTATGAATAGAAAGGTTCTACTCCTTTAGTTGAGGACACACATCACGAGTAAGTTTCTGAGAATGCTTCTGTCTAGTTTTTATGGGAAGATATTTCCTTTTTCACCTTAGGCCGGAAAGCGCTCCAAATGTCCACTTACACACACTACAAAAAGAGTGTTTCAAACCTGCTCTGTGAAAGGGAATGTTCAATTCTGTGACTTGAATGCAATCATCACAAAGAACTTTCTGAGAATGCTGCTGTCTGCTTTTTATATGTAATCCCCTTTCCAACGAAATCCTCAAATCTAGCCAAATAGCCACTTGCAGATTCCACAAAAAGAGTGTTTCAAAACTGTTCTGTCTAAAGAAATGTTCAACTGTGTTAGTTGAGGACACACATCAGAAACTAGTTTCTGAGAATGCTTCTGTCTAGTTGTTATGGGAAGATATTTCCTTTTCCAACGTAGGCCGGAAAGCGCTCCAAATGTCCACTTCCATATACTAAAAAAAGAGGGCTTCAAGCCTGCTCTACCAAAGGGAATGTTCTACTCTGTGACTTGAATGCAAACATCCCAAAGAAGTTTCTGAGAATGCTTCTGTCTAGATTTGATCTGAAGACAATCCCGTTTCCAACGAAATCCTCAAGGCTAGGCAAATATCCTCTTGCAGATTCCAGAAAAAGAGTGTTTCAAAACTGCTCCTTCAAAACGGTGGTTCAATTCTCTTAGTTGAGTACACACATCTCAAATAAGTTTCTGAGAATGCTTCTGCCTAGTTGTTACGGGAAGATATTTCCCTTTCCAACATAGGCCTGAAAGCACTCCAAATGTCCACTTCCAGATACTACAAAAAGAGTGTTTCAAACCTGCTCTACCAAAGGGAATGTTCTGCTCTGTGACTTGAATGCAAACATCCCAAAGAAGTTTCTGAGAATGCTTCTGTCTAGATTTTTCCTGAAGACAATCCCGTTTCCCACGAAATCCTCAAAGCTATGCAAATATCCTCTTGCAGATTCTACAAAAAGAGTGTTTCAAAACTGCTCTATGAAAAGAAAGGTTCAACTCTGTCAGTAGAGGGCACACATCACAAACAAGTTTCTGAGAATGCTTGTGTCTAGTTGTTATGGGAAGATATTTCCTTTTCCAACATAGGCCTGAAAGCGTTCCAAATGTCCACTTCCAGATACTACAAAAGGAGGGATTCCAACCTGGTCTATGATAGGGAATGTTCAACTCTCTGTCCTGAATACAAACATCACAAAGATGTTTCTCAGAACGCTGCAGTCTGCAATTTGTATGAATTCCCGCTTCCAACGAAATCCTCAAAACTAGCCAAATATCCACTTGCAGATTCCACAAAAAGAGCATTTCAAAACTGCTCTATCAAAAGAAAGGTTCAACTTTGTTAGTTGAGTAGATACAGCATAAACAAGTTTCTGAGAATGCTTCTGTCCAGTTTTTATGGGAAGATATTTCCTTTTTCACCTTAGCCCTGAAAGCGCTCCAAAAGTCCAGTTCCAGATACTACAAAAGGGGTGTTTCAGTACTGCTCTATGAAAGGGAGTGTTCAACTTTTGACTTGAATGCAAACATCAGAAAGCAGTTTCTCAGAACGCTGCTGTGTGCTTTTTATATGTATTCCCGCTTCCAGCGAAATCCCCAAAGCTAGCCAAATATCCACTTGCAGATTCCAGAAAAAGAGTGTTTCAAAACTGCTCCTTCAAAACGGTGGTTCAATTCTCTTAGTTGAGTACACACATCTCAAATAAGTTTCTGAGAATGCTTCTGTCTAGTTGTTATGGGAAGATATTTCCTTTTCCAACATAGGCCTGAAAGCGCTCCAAATGTCCACTTCCAGATACTACAAAAGGAGTGATTCAAACCTGCTCTATGATAGGGAATGTTCAACTCTGTGTCCTGAATACAAACATCACAAAGATGTTTCTCAGAACGCTGCAGTCTGCAATTTGTATGAATTCCCGCTTCCAACGAAATCCTCAAAACTAGCCAAATATCCACTTGCAGATTCCACAAAAAGAGCGTTTCAAAACTTCTCTATGAAAAGAAAGGTTCTACTCCTTTAGCTGAGGACACACATCACGAGTAAGTTTCTGAGAATGCTTCTGTCTAGTTTTTATGGGAAGATATTTCCTTTTTCACCTTAGGCCGGAAAGTGCTCCAAATGTCCACTTACACACACTACAAAAAGAGTGTTTCAAACCTGCTCTGTGAAAGGGAATGTTCAATTCTGTGACTTGAATGCAATCATCACAAAGAACTTTCTGAGAATGCTGCTGTCTGCTTTTTATATGTATTCCCGTTTCCAACGAAATCCTCAAAGCCAGCCAAATATCCACTTGCAGATTCCACAAAAAGAGTGTTTCAAAACTGCTCTCTCAAAAGAAATGTTCAACTCTGTCAGTTGAGGACACACATCACAAATAAGTTTCTGAGAATGCTTCTGTCTAGTTTTTATGGGAAGATATTTCCTTTTTCACCTGAGGCCGGAAAGCGCTCCAAATGTCCACTTCCAGATACTACAAAAGGAGTGATTCAAACCTGCTCTATGATAGGGAACGTTCAACTCTGTGTCCTGAATACAAACATCACAAAGATGTTTCTCAGAACGCTGCAGTCTGCAATTTGTATGAATTCCCGCTTCCAACGAAATCCTCAAAACTAGCCAAATATCCACTTGCAGATTCCACAAAAAGAGCGTTTCAAAACTTCTCTATGAAAAGAAAGGTTCTACTCCTTTAGTTGAGGACACACATCACGAGTAAGTTTCTGAGAATGCTTGTGTCTAGTTGTTATGGGAAGATATTTCCTTTTTCAACATAGGCCTGAAAGCGCTCCAAATGTCCACTTACACACACTACAAAAAGAGTGTTTCAAACCTGCTCTGTGAAAGGGAATGTTCAATTCTGTGACTTGAATGCAATCATCACAAAGAACTTTCTGAGAATGCTGCTGTCTGCTTTTTATATGTAATCCCGTTTCCAACGAAATCCTCAAATCTAGCCAAATATCCACTTGCAGATTCCACAAAAAGAGTGTTTCAAAACTGTTCTGTCTAAAGAAAAGTTCAACTGTGTTAGTTGAGGACACACATCAGAAACTAGTTTCTGAGAATGCTTCTGTCTAGTTGTTATGGGAAGATATTTCCTTTTCCAACGTAGGCCTGAAAGCGCTCCAAATGTCCACTTCCATATACTAAAAAAAGAGTGTTTCAAACCTGCTCTACCAAAGGGAATGTTCTACTCTGTGACTTGAATGCAAACATCCCAAAGAAGTTTCTGAGAATGCTTCTGTCTAGATTTGATCTGAAGACAATCCCGTTTCCAACGAAATCCTCAAAGCTAGGCAAATATCCTCTTGCAGATTCCAGAAAAAGAGTGTTTCAAAACTGCTCCTTCAAAACGGTGGTTCAATTTTCTTAGTTGAGTACACACATCTCAAATAAGTTTCTGAGAATGCTTCTGCCTAGTTGTTACGGGAAGATATTTCCCTTTCCAACATAGGCCTGAAAGCGCTCCAAATGTCCACTTCCAGATACTACAAAAAGAGTGTTTCAAACCTGCTCTACCAAAGGGAATGTTCTACTCTGTGACTTGAATGCAAACATCCCAAAGAAGTTTCTGAGAATGCTTCTGTCTAGATTTTACCTGAAGACAATCCCGTTTCCCACGAAATCCTCAAAGCTATGCAAATATCCTCTTGCAGATTCTACAAAAAGAGTGTTTCAAAACTGCTCTATGAAAAGAAAGGTTCAACTCTGTCAGTAGAGGGCACACATCACAAACAAGTTTCTGAGAATGCTTGTGTCTAGTTGTTATGGGAAGATATTTCCTTTTTCAACATAGGCCTGAAAGCGCTCCAAATGTCCACTTCCAGATACTACAAAAGGAGTGATTCCAACCTGCTCTATGATAGGGAATGTTCAACTCTCTGTCCTGAATACAAACATCACAAAGATGTTTCTCAGAACGCTGCAGTCTGCAATTTGTATGAATTCCCGCTTCCAACGAAATCCTCAAAACTAGCCAAATATCCACTTGCAGATTCCACAAAAAGACCATTTCAAAACTGCTCTATCAAAAGAAAGGTTCAACTTTGTTAGTTGAGTAGTTACAGCATAAACAAGTTTCTGAGAATGCTTCTGTCCAGTTTTTATGGGAAGATATTTCCTTTTTCACCTTAGCCCTGAAATCGCTCCAAAAGTCCAGTTCCAGATACTACAAAACGGGTGTTTCAAGACTGCTCTATGAAAGGGAGTGTTCAACTTTTGACTTGAATGCAAACATCAGAAAGCAGTTTCTCAGAACGCTGCTGTGTGCTTTTTATATGTATTCCCGCTTCCAGCGAAATCCCCAAAGCTAGCCAAATATCCACTTGCAGATTCCAGAAAAAGAGAGTTTCAAAACTGCTCCTTCAAAACGGTGGTTCAATTCTCTTAGTTGAGTACACACATCTCAAATAAGTTTCTGAGAATGCTTCTGTCTAGTTGTTTATGGGAAGATATTTCCTTTTCCAACATAGGCCTGAAAGCGCTCCAAATGTCCACTTCCAGATACTACAAAAGGAGTGATTCCAACCTGCTCTATGATAGGGAATGTTCAACTCTGTGTCCTGAATACAAACATCACAAAGATGTTTCTCAGAACGCTGCAGTCTGCAATTTGTATGAATTCCCGCTTCCAACGAAATCCTCAAAACTAGCCAAATATCCACTTGCAGATTCCACAAAAAGACCATTTCAAAACTGCTCTATCAAAAGAAAGGTTCAACTTTGTTAGTTGAGTAGATACAGCATAAACAAGTTTCTGAGAATGCTTCTGTCCAGTTTTTATGGGAAGATATTTCCTTTTTCACCTTAGCCCTGAAATCGCTCCAAAAGTCCAGTTCCAGATACTACAAAAGGGGTGTTTCAAGACTGCTCTATGAAAGGGAGTGTTCAACTTTTGACTTGAATGCAAACATCAGAAAGCAGTTTCTCAGAACGCTGCTGTGTGCTTTTTATATGTATTCCCGCTTCCAGCGAAATCCCCAAAGCTAGCCAAATATCCACTTGCAGATTCCAGAAAAAGAGAGTTTCAAAACTGCTCCTTCAAAACGGTGGTTCAATTCTCTTAGTTGAGTACACACATCTCAAATAAGTTTCTGAGAATGCTTCTGTCTAGTTGTTATGGGAAGATATTTCCTTTTCCAACATAGGCCTGAAAGCGCTCCAAATGTCCACTTCCAGATACTACAAAAGGAGTGATTCAAACCTGCTCTATGATAGGGAATGTTCAACTCTGTGTCCTGAATACAAACATCACAAAGATGTTTCTCAGAACGCTGCAGTCTGCAATTTGTATGAATTCCCGCTTCCAACGAAATCCTCAAAACTAGCCAAATATCCACTTGCAGATTCCACAAAAAGAGCATTTCAAAACTGCTCTATCAAAAGAAAGGTTCAACTTTGTTAGTTGAGTAGATACAGCATAAACAAGTTTCTGAGAATGCTTCTGTCCAGTTTTTATGGGAAGATATTTCCTTTTTCACCTTAGCCCTGAAATCGCTCCAAAAGTCCAGTTCCAGATACTACAAAAGGGGTGTTTCAAGACTGCTCTATGAAAGGGAGTGTTCAACTTTTGACTTGAATGCAAACATCAGAAAGCAGTTTCTCAGAACGCTGCTCTGTGCTTTTTATATGTATTCCCGCTTCCAGCGAAATCCCCAAAGCTAGCCAAATATCCACTTGCAGATTCCAGAAAAAGAGTGTTTCAAAACTGCTCCTTCAAAACGGTGGTTCAATTCTCTTAGTTGAGTACACACATCTCAAATAAGTTTCTGAGAATGCTTCTGTCTAGTTGTTATGGGAAGATATTTCCTTTTCCAACATAGGCCTGAAAGCGCTCCAAATGTCCACTTCCAGATACTACAAAAGGAGTGATTCCAACCTGCTCTATGATAGGGAATGTTCAACTCTGTGTCCTGAATACAAACATCACAAAGATGTTTCTCAGAACGCTGCAGTCTGCAATTTGTATGAATTCCCGCTTCCAACGAAATCCTCAAAACTAGCCAAATATCCACTTGCAGATTCCACAAAAAGAGCGTTTCAAAACTTCTCTATGAAAAGAAAGGTTCTACTCCTTTAGTTGAGGACACACATCACGAGTAAGTTTCTGAGAATGCTTCTGTCTAGTTTTTATGGGAAGATATTTCCTTTTTCACCTTAGGCCGGAAAGTGCTCCAAATGTCCACTTACACACACTACAAAAAGAGTGTTTCAAACCTGCTCTGTGAAAGGGAATGTTCAATTCTGTGACTTGAATGCAATCATCACAAAGAACTTTCTGAGACTGCTGCTGTCTGCTTTGTATATGTAATCCCGTTTCCAACGAAATCCTCAAATCTAGCTAAATATCCACTTGCAGATTCCAGAAAAAGAGTGTTTCAAAACTGCTCCTTCAAAACGGTGGTTCAATTCTCTTAGTTGAGTACACACATCTCAAATAAGTTTCTGAGAATGCTTCTGCCTAGTTGTTAAGGGAAGATATTTCCCTTTCCAACATAGGTCTGAAAGCGCTCCAAATGTCCACTTCCAGATACTACAAAAGGAGTGATTCAAACCTGCTCTATGATAGGGAATGTTCAACTCTGTGTCCTGAATACAAACATCACAAAGATGTTTCTCAGAACGCTGCAGTCTGCAATTTGTATGAATTCCCGCTTCCAACGAAATCCTCAAAACTAGCCAAATATCCACTTGCAGATTCCACAAAAAGAGCGTTTCAAAACTTCTCTATGAAAAGAAAGGTTCTACTCCTTTAGTTGAGGACACACATCACGAGTAAGTTTCTGAGAATGCTTCTGTCTAGTTTTTATGGGAAGATATTTCCTTTTTCACCTTAGGCCGGAAAGCGCTCCAAATGTCCACTTACACACACTACAAAAAGAGTGTCTCAAACCTGCTCTGTGAAAGGGAATGTTCAATTCTGTGACTTGAATGCAATCATCACAAAGAACTTTCTGAGAATGCTGCTGTCTGCTTTTTATATGTAATCCCGTTTCCAACGAAATCCTCAAATCTAGCCAAATATCCACTTGCAGATTCCACAAAAAGAGTGTTTCAAAACTGTTCTGTCTAAAGAAAAGTTCAACTGTGTTAGTTGAGGACACACATCAGAAACTAGTTTCTGAGAATGCTTCTGTCTA
Organism: Homo sapiens; assembly: GCF_000001405.40. Classification (NCBI taxonomy): domain Eukaryota; kingdom Metazoa; phylum Chordata; class Mammalia; order Primates; family Hominidae; genus Homo; species Homo sapiens. Next base: position 19,148,481 of record NC_000018.10, on the reverse strand, counting down.
GTTGTTATGGGAAGATATTTCCTTTTCCAACGTAGGCCTGAAAGCGCTCCAAATGTCCACTTCCATATACTAAAAAAAGAGTGTTTCAAACCTGCTCTACCAAAGGGAATGTTCTACTCTGTGACTTGAATGCAAACATCCCAAAGAAGTTTCTGAGAATGCTTCTGTCTAGATTTTATCTGAAGACAATCCCGTTTCCAACGAAATCTTCAAGGCTAGGCAAATATACTCTTGCAGTTTCCAGAAAAAGAGTGTTTCAAAACTGTTCCTTCAAAACGGTGGTTCAATTCTCTTAGTTGAGTACACACATCTCAAATAAGTTTCTGAGAATGCTTCTGCCTAGTTGTTACGGGAAGATATTTCCCTTTCCAACATGGGCCTGAAAGCGCTCCAAATGTCCACTTCCAGATACTACAAAAAGAGGGTTTCAAACCTGCTCTACCAAAGGGAATGTTCTACTCTGTGACTTGAATGCAAACATCCCAAAGAAGTTTCTGAGAATGCTTCTGTCTAGATTTTACCTGAAGACAATCCCGTTTCCCACGAAATCCTCAAAGCTATGCAAATATCCTCTTGCAGATTCTACAAAAAGAGTGTTTCAAAACTGCTCTATGAAAAGAAAGGTTCAACTCTGTCAGCAGAGGGCACACATCACAAACAAGTTTCTGAGAATGCTTGTGTCTAGTTGTTATGGGAAGATATTTCCTTTTTCAACATAGGCCTGAAAGCGCTCCAAATGTCCACTTCCAGATACTACAAAAGGAGTGATTCCAACCTGCTCTATGATAGGGAATGTTCAACTCTGTGTCCTGAATACAAACATCACAAAGATGTTTCTCAGAACGCTGCAGTCTGCAATTTGTATGAATTCCCGCTTCCAACGAAATCCTCAAAACTAGCCAAATATCCACTTGCAGATTCCACAAAAAGACCATTTCAAAACTGCTCTATCAAAAGAAAGGTTCAACTTTGTTAGTTGAGTAGATACAGCATAAACAAGTTTCTGAGAATGCTTCTGTCCAGTTTTTATGGGAAGATATTTCCTTTTTCACCTTAGCCCTGAAATCGCTCCAAAAGTCCAGTTCCAGATACTACAAAAGGGGTGTTTCAAGACTGCTCTATGAAAGGGAGTGTTCAACTTTTGACTTGAATGCAAACATCAGAAAGCAGTTTCTCAGAACGCTGCTGTGTGCTTTTTATATGTATTCCCGCTTCCAGCGAAATCCCCAAAGCTAGCCAAATATCCACTTGCAGATTCCAGAAAAAGAGTGTTTCAAAACTGCTCCTTCAAAACGGTGGTTCAATTCTCTTAGTTGAGTACACACATCTCAAATAAGTTTCTGAGAATGCTTCTGTCTAGTTGTTATGGGAAGATATTTCCTTTTCCAACATAGGCCTGAAAGCGCTCCAAATGTCCACTTCCAGATACTACAAAAGGAGTGATTCAAACCTGCTCTATGATAGGGAATGTTCAAATCTGTGTCCTGAATACAAACATCACAAAGATGTTTCTCAGAACGCTGCAGTCTGCAATTTGTATGAATTCCCGCTTCCAACGAAATCCTCAAAACTAGCCAAATATCCACTTGCAGATTCCACAAAAAGAGCGTTTCAAAACTTCTCTATGAAAAGAAAGGTTCTACTCCTTTAGTTGAGGACACACATCACGAGTAAGTTTCTGAGAATGCTTCTGTCTAGTTTTTATGGGAAGATATTTCCTTTTTCACCTTAGGCCGGTAAGTGCTCCAAATGTCCACTTACACACACTACAAAAAGAGTGTTTCAAACCTGCTCTGTGAAAGGGAATGTTCAATTCTGTGACTTGAATGCAATCATCACAAAGAACTTTCTGAGAATGCTGCTGACTGCTTTTTATATGTAATCCCGTTTCCAATGAAATCCTCAAATCTAGCCAAATAGCCACTTGCAGATTCCACAAAAAGAGTGTTTCAAAACTGTTCTGTCTAAAGAAATGTTCAACTGTGTTAGTTGAGGACACACATCAGAAACTAGTTTCTGAGAATGCTTCTGTCTAGTTGTTATGGGAAGATATTTCCTTTTCCAACGTAGGCCTGAAAGCGCTCCAAATGTCCACTTCCAGATACTACAAAAAGAGTGTTTCAAACCTGCTCTACCAAAGGGAATGTTCTACTCTGTGACTGGAATGCAAGCATCCCAAAGAAGTTTCTGAGAATGCTTCTGTCTAGATTTTCTCTGAAGACAATCCCGTTTCCAACGAAATCCTCAAGGCTAGGCAAATATACTCTTGCAGATTCCAGAAAAAGAGTGTTTCAAAACTGCTCCTTCAAAACGGTGGTTCAATTCTCTTAGTTGAGTACACACATCTCAAATAAGTTTCTGAGAATGCTTCTGCCTAGTTGTTACGGGAAGATATTTCCCTTTCCAACATGGGCCTGAAAGCGCTCCAAATGTCCACTTCCAGATACTACAAAAAGAGTGTTTCAAACCTGCTCTACCAAAGGGAATGTTCTACTCTGTGACTTGAATGCAAACATCCCAAAGAAGTTTCTAAGAATGCTTCTGTCTAGATTTTACCTGAAGACAATCCCGTTTCCCACGAAACCCTCAAAGCTATGCAAATATCCTCTTGCAGATTCTACAAAAAGAGTGTTTCAAAACTGCTCTATGAAAAGAAAGGTTCAACTCTGTCAGTGGAGGGCACACATCACAAACAAGTTTCTGAGAATTCTTGTGTCTAGTTGTTATGGGAAGATATTTCCTTTTTCAACATAGGCCTGAAAGCGCTCCAAATGTCCACTTCCAGATACTACAAAAGGAGTGATTCCAACCTGCTCTATGATAGGGAATGTTCAACTCTCTGTCCTGAATACAAACATCACAAAGATGTTTCTCAGAACGCTGCAGTCTGCAATTTGTATGAATTCCCGCTTCCAGCGAAATCCTCAAAACTAGCCAAATATCCACTTGCAGATTCCACAAAAAGAGCATTTCAAAACTGCTCTATCAAAAGAAAGGTTCAACTTTGTTAGTTGAGTAGATACAGCATAAACAAGTTTCTGAGAATGCTTCTGTCCAGTTTTTATGGGAAGATATTTCCTTTTTCACCTTAGCCCTGAAAGCGCTCCAAAAATCCAGTTCCAGATACTACAAAAGGAGTGTTTCAGGACTGCTCTATGAAAGGGAGTGTTCAACTTTTGACTTGAATGCAAACATCAGAAAGCAGTTTCTCAGAACGCTGCTGTGTGCTTTTTATATGTATTCCCGCTTCCAGCGAAATCCCCAAAGCTAGCCAAATATCCACTTGCAGATTCCAGAAAAAGAGTGTTTCAAAACTGCTCCTTCAAAACGGTGGTTCAATTCTCTTAGTTGAGTACACACATCTCAAATAAGTTTCTGAGAATGCTTCTGTCTAGTTGATATGGGAAGATATTTCCTTTTCCAACATAGGCCTGAAAGCGCTCCAAATGTCCACTTCCAGATACTACAAAAGGAATGATTCAAACCTGCTCTATGATAGGGAATGTTCAACTCTGTGTCCTGAATACAAACATCACAAAGATGTTTCTCAGAACGCTGCAGTCTGCAATTTGTATGAATTCCCGCTTCCAACGAAATCCTCCAAACTAGCCAAATATCCACTTGCAGATTCCACAAAAAGAGCGTTTCAAAACTTCTCTATGAAAAGAAAGGTTCTACTCCTTTAGTTGAGGACACACATCACGAGTAAGTTTCTGAGAATGCTTCTGTCTAGTTTTTATGGGAAGATATTTCCTTTTTCACCTTAGGCCGGAAAGTGCTCCAAATGTCCACTTACACACACTACAAAAAGAGTGTTTCAAACCTGCTCTGTGAAAGGGAATGTTCAATTCTGTGACTTGAATGCAATCATCACAAAGAACTTTCTGAGAATGCTGCTGTCTGCTTTTTATATGTAATCCCGTTTCCAACGAAATCCTCAAATCTAGCCAAATAGCCACTTGCAGATTCCACAAAAACAGTGTTTCAAAACTGTTCTGTCTAAAGAAATGTTCAACTGTGTTAGTTGAGGACACACATCAGAAACTAGTTTCTGAGAATGCTTCTGTCTAGTTGTTATGGGAAGATATTTCGTTTTCCAACGTAGGCCTGAAAGCACTCCAAATGTCCACTTCCATATACTAAAAAAAGAGTGTTTCAAACCTGCTCTACCAAAGGGAATGTTCTACTCTGTGACTTGAATGCAAACATCCCAAAGAAGTTTCTGAGAATGCTTCTGTCTAGATTTGATCTGAACACAATCCCGTTTCCAACGAAATCCTCAAAGCTAGGCAAATATCCTCTTGCAGATTCCAGAAAAAGAGTGTTTCAAAACTGCTCCTTCAAAACGGTGGTTCAATTCTCTTAGTTGAGTACACACATCTCAAATAAGTTTCTGAGAATGCTTCTGCCTAGTTGTTACGGGAAGATATTTCCCTTTCCAACATGGGCCTGAAAGCGCTCCAAATGTCCACTTCCAGATACTACAAAAAGAGTGTTTCAAACCTGCTCTACCAAAGGGAATGTTCTACTCTGTGACTTGAATGCAAACATCCCAAAGAAGTTTCTGAGAATGCTTCTGTCTAGATTTTACCTGAAGACAATCCCGTTTCCCACGAAATCCTCAAAGCTATGCAAATATCCTCTTGCAGATTCTACAAAAAGAGTGTTTCAAAACTGCTCTATGAAAAGAAAGGTTCAACTCTGTCAGTAGAGGGCACACATCACAAACAAGTTTCTGAGAATGCTTGTGTCTAGTTGTTATGGGAAGATATTTCCTTTTTCAACATAGGCCTGAAAGCGCTCCAAATGTCCACTTCCAGATACTACAAAAGGAGTGATTCCAACCTGCTCTATGATAGGGAATGTTCATCTCTGTGTCCTGAATACAAACATCACAAAGATGTTTCTCAGAACGCTGCAGTCTGCAATTTGTATGAATTCCCGCTTCCAGCGAAATCCTCAAAACTAGCCAAATATCCACTTGCAGATTCCACAAAAAGAGCATTTCAAAACTGCTCTATCAAAAGAAAGGTTCAACTTTGTTAGTTGAGTAGATACAGCATAAACAAGTTTCTGAGAATGCTTCTGTCCAGTTTTTATGGGAAGATATTTCCTTTTTCACCTTAGCCCTGAAAGCGCTCCAAAAGTCCAGTTCCAGATACTACAAAAGGAGTGTTTCAGGACTGCTCTATGAAAGGGAGTGTTCAACTTTTGACTTGAATGCAAACATCAGAAAGCAGTTTCTCAGAACGCTGCTGTGTGCTTTTCATATGTATTCCCGCTTCCAGCGAAATCCCCAAAGCTAGCCAAATATCCACTTGCAGATTCCAGAAAAAGAGTGTTTCAAAACTGCTCCTTCAAAACGGTGGTTCAATTCTCTTAGTTGAGTACACACATCTCAAATAAGTTTCTGAGAATGCTTCTGTCTAGTTGTTATGGGAAGATATTTCCTTTTCCAACATAGGCCTGAAAGCGCTCCAAATGTCCACTTCCAGATACTACAAAAGGAGTGATTCAAACCTGCTCTATGATAGGGAATGTTCAACTCTGTGTCCTGAATACAAACATCACAAAGATGTTTCTCAGAACGCTGCAGTCTGCAATTTGTGTGAATTCCCGCTTCCAACGAAATCCTCAAAACTAGCCAAATATCCACTTGCAGATTCCACAAAAAGAGCGTTTCAAAACTTCTCTATGAAAAGAAAGGTTCTACTCCTTTAGTTGAGGACACACATCACGAGTAAGTTTCTGAGAATGCTTCTGTCTAGTTTTTATGGGAAGATATTTCCTTTTTCACCTTAGGCCGGTAAGTGCTCCAAATGTCCACTTACACACACTACAAAAAGAGTGTTTCAAACCTGCTCTGTGAAAGGGAATGTTCAATTCTGTGACTTGAATGCAATCATCACAAAGAACTTTCTGAGAATGCTGCTGACTGCTTTTTATATGTAATCCCGTTTCCAACGAAATCCTCAAATCTACCCAAATATCCACTTGCAGATTCCACAAAAAGAGTGTTTCAAAACTGTTCTGTCTAAAGAAATGTACAACTGTGTTAGTTGAGGACACACATCAGAAACTAGTTTCTGAGAATGCTTCTGTCTAGTTGTTATGGGAAGATATTTCCTTTTCCAACGTAGGCCTGAAAGCGCTCCAAATGTCCACTTCCATATACTAAAAAAAGAGTGTTTCAAACCTGCTCTACCAAAGAGAATGTTCTACTCTGTGACTTGAATGCAAACATCCCAAAGAAGTTTCTGAGAATGCTTCTGTCTAGATTTTATCTGAAGACAATCCCGTTTCCAACGAAATCATCAAGGCTAGGCAAATATACTCTTGCAGATTCCAGAAAAAGAGTGTTTCAAAACTGCTCCTTCAAAACGGTGGTTCAATTCTCTTAGTTGAGTACACACATCGCAAATAAGTTTCTGAGAATGCTTCTGCCTAGTTGTTACGGGAAGATATTTCCCTTTCCAACATGGGCCTGAAAGCGCTCCAAATGTCCACTTCCAGATACTACAAAAAGAGTGTTTCAAACCTGCTCTACCAAAGGGAATGTTCTACTCTGTGACTTGAATGCAAACATCCCAAAGAAGTTTCTGAGAATGCTTCTGTCTAGATTTTACCTGAAGACAATCCCGTTTCCCACGAAATCCTCAGAGCTATGCAAATATCCTCTTGCAGATTCTACAAAAAGAGTGTTTCGAAACTGCTCTATGAAAAGAAAGGTTCAACTCTGTCAGTAGAGGAAACACATCACCAACAAGTTTCTGAGAATGCTTCTGTCTAGTTGTTATGGGAAGATTTTTCCTTTTTCAACATAGGCCTGAAAGCGCTCCAAATGTCCACTTCCAGATACTACAAAAGGAGTGATCCCAACCTGCTCTATGATAGGGAATGTTCAACTCTGTGTCCTGAATACAAACATCACAAAGATGTTTCTCAGAACGCTGCAGTCTGCAATTTGTATGAATTCCCGCTTCCAACGAAATCCTCAAAACTAGCCAAATATCCACTTGCAGATTCCACAAAAAGAGCATTTCAAAACTGCTCTATCAAAAGAAAGGTTCAACTTTGTTAGTTGAGTAGATACAGCATAAACAAGTTTCTGAGAATGCTGCAGTCTGCAATTTGGATGAATTCCCGCTTCCAACGAAATCCTCAAAACTAGCCAAATATCCACTTGGAGATTCCACAAAAAGAGCGTTTCAAAACTTCTCTATGAATAGAAAGGTTCTACTCCTTTAGTTGAGGACACACATCACGAGTAAGTTTCTGAGAATGCTTCTGTCTAGTTTTTATGGGAAGATATTTCCTTTTTCACCTTAGGCCGGAAAGCGCTCCAAATGTCCACTTACACACACTACAAAAAGAGTGTTTCAAACCTGCTCTGTGAAAGGGAATGTTCAATTCTGTGACTTGAATGCAATCATCACAAAGAACTTTCTGAGAATGCTGCTGTGTGCTTTTTATATGTAATCCCGTTTCCAACGAAATCCTCAAATCTAGCCCAATATCCACTTGCAGATTCCACAAAAAGAGTGTTTCAAAACTGTTCTGTATAAAGAAATGTACAACTGTGTTAGTTGAGGACACACATCAGAAACTAGTTTCTGAGAATGCTTCTGTCTAGTTGTTATGGGAAGATATTTCCTTTTCCAACGTAGGCCTGAAAGCGCTCCAAATGTCCACTTCCATATACTAAAAAAAGAGTGTTTCAAACCTGCTCTACCAAAGGGAATGTTCTACTCTGTGACTTGAATGCAAACATCCCAAAGAAGTTTCTGAGAATGCTTCTGTCTAGATTTTATCTGAAGACAATCCCGTTTCCAACGAAATCTTCAAGGCTAGGCAAATATACTCTTGCATATTCCAGAAAAAGAGTGTTTCAAATCTGCTCCTTCAAAGCGGTGGTTCAATTCTCTTAGTTGAGTACACACATCTCAAATAAGTTTCTGAGAATGCTTCTGCCTAGTTGTTACGGGAAGATATTTCCCTTTCCAAAATAGGCCTGAAAGCGCTCCAAATGTCCACTTCCAGATACTGCAAAAGGAGTGATTCCAACCTGCTCTATGATAGGGAAAGTTCAACTCTGTGTCCTGAATACAAACATCACAAAGATGTTTCTCAGAACGCTGCAGTCTGCAATTTGTATGAATTCCCGCTTCCAACGAAATCCTCAAAACTAGCCAAATATCCACTTGCAGATTCCACAAAAAGACCATTTCAAAACTGCTCTATCAAAAGAAAGGTTCAACTTTGTTAGTTGAGTAGATACAGCATAAACAAGTTTCTGAGAATGCTTCTGTCCAGTTTTTATGGGAAGATATTTCCTTTTTCACCTTAGCCCTGAAATCGCTCCAAAAGTCCAGTTCCAGATACTACAAAAGGGGTGTTTCAAGACTGCTCTATGAAAGGGAGTGTTCAACTTTTGACTTGAATGCAAACATCAGAAAGCAGTTTCTCAGAACGCTGCTGTGTGCTTTTTATATGTATTCCCGCTTCCAGCGAAATCCCCAAAGCTAGCCAAATATCCACTTGCAGATTCCAGAAAAAGAGTGCTTCAAAACTGCTCCTTCAAAACGGTGGTTCAATTCTCTTAGTTGAGTACACACATCTCAAATAAGTTTCTGAGAATGCTTCTGTCTAGTTGTTATGGGAAGATATTTCCTTTTCCAACATAGGCCTGAAAGCGCTCCAAATGTCCACTTCCAGATACTACAAAAGGAGTGATTCAAACCTGCTCTATGATAGGGAATGTTCAACTCTGTGTCCTGAATACAAACATCACAAAGATGTTTCTCAGAACGCTGCAGTCTGCAATTTGTATGAATTCCCGCTTCCAACGAAATCCTCCAAACTAGCCAAATATCCACTTGCAGATTCCACAAAAAGAGCGTTTCAAAACTTCTCTATGAAAACAAAGGTTCTACTCCTTTAGTTGAGGACACACATCACGAGTAAGTTTCTGAGAATGCTTCTGTCTAGTTTTTATGGGAAGATATTTCCTTTTTCACCTTAGGCCGGAAAGTGTTCCAAATGTCCACTTACACACACTATAAAAAGAGTGTTTCAAACCTGCTCTGTGAAAGGGAATGTTCAATTCTGTGACTTGAATGCAATCATCACAAAGAACTTTCTGAGAATGCTGCTGTCTTCTTTTTATATGTAATCCCGTTTCCAACGAAATCCTCAAATCTAGCCAAATAGCCACTTGCAGATTCCACAAAAAGAGAGTTTCAAAACTGTTCTGTCTAAAGAAATGTTCAACTGTGTTAGTTGAGGACACACATCAGAAACTAGTTTCTGAGAATGCTTCTGTCTAGTTGTTATGGGAAGATATTTCCTTTTCCAACGTAGGCCTGAAAGCGCTCCAAATGTCCACTTCCATATACTAAAAAAAGAGTGTTTCAAACCTGCTCTACCAAAGGGAATGTTCTACTCTGTGACTTGAATGCAAACATCCCAAAGAAGTTTCTGAGAATGCTTCTGTCTAGATTTGATCTGAAGACAATCCCGTTTCCAACGAAATCCTCAAGGCTAGGCAAATATCCTCTTGCAGATTCCAGAAAAAGAGTGTTTCAAAACTGCTCCTTCAAAACGGTGGTTCAATTCTCTTAGTTGAGTACACACATCTCAAATAAGTTTCTGAGAATGCTTCTGCCTAGTTGTTACAGGAAGATATTTCCTTTTCCAACATGGGCCTGAAAGCGCTCCAAATGTCCACTTCCAGATACTACAAAAAGAGTGTTTCAAACCTGCTCTACCAAAGGGAATGTTCTACTCTGTGACTTGAATGCAAACATCCCAAAGAAGTTTCTGAGAATGCTTCTGTCTAGATTTTACCTGAAGACAATCCCGTTTCCCACGAAATCCTCAAAGCTATGCAAATATCCTCTTGCAGATTCTACAAAAAGAGTGTTTCAAAACTGCTCTATGAAAAGAAAGGTTCAACTCTGTCAGTAGAGGGCACACATCACAAACAAGTTTCTGAGAATGCTTCTGCCTAGTTGTTATGGGAAGATATTTCCTTTTTCAACATGGGCCTGAAAGCGCTCCAAATGTCCACTTCCAGATACTAGAAAAGGAGTGATTCCAACCTGCTCTATGATAGGGAATGTTCAACTGCTGTGTCCTGAATACAAACATCACAAAGATGTTTCTCAGAACGCTTGCAGTCTGCAATTTGTATGAATTCCCGCTTCCAACGAAATCCTCAAAACTAGCCAAATATCCACTTGCAGATTCCACAAAAAGACCATTTCAAAACTGCTCTATCAAAAGAAAGGTTCAACTTTGTTAGTTGAGTAGATACAGCATAACCAAGTTTCTGAGAATGCTTCTGTCCAGTTTTTATGGGAAGATATTTCCTTTTTCACCTTAGCCCTGAAATCGCTCCAAAAGTCCAGTTCCAGATACTACAAAAGGGGTGTTTCAAGACTGCTCTATGAAAGGGAGTGTTCAACTTTTGACTTGAATGCAAACATCAGAAAGCAGTTTCTCAGAACGCTGCTGTGTGTTTTTATATGTATTCCCGCTTCCAGCGAAATCCCCAAAGCTAGCCAAATATCCACTTGCAGATTCCAGAAAAAGAGTGTTTCAAAACTGCTCCTTCAAAACGGTGGTTCAATTCTCTTAGTTGAGTACACACATCTCAAATAAGTTTCTGAGAATGCTTCTGTCTAGTTGTTATGGGAAGATATTTCCTTTTCCAACATAGGCCTGAAAGCGCTCCAAATGTCCACTTCCAGATACTACGAAAGGAGTGATTCAAACCTGCTCTATGATACGGAATGTTCAACTCTGTGTCCTGAATACAAACATCACAAAGATGTTTCTCAGAACGCTGCAGTCTGCAATTTGTATGAATTCCCGCTTCCAACGAAATCCTCAAAACTAGCCAAATATCCACTTGCAGATTCCACAAAAAGAGCGTTTCAAAACTTCTCTATGAAAAGAAAGGTTCTACTCCTTTAGTTGAGGACACACATCACGAGTAAGTTTCTGAGAATGCTTCTGTCTAGTTTTTATGGGAAGATATTTCCTTTTTCACCTTAGGCCGGAAAGCGCTCCAAATGTCCACTTACACACACTACAAAAAGAGTGTTTCAAACCTGCTCTGTGAAAGGGAATGTTCAATTCTGTGACTTGAATGCAATCATCACAAAGAACTTTCTGAGAATGCTGCTGACTGCTTTTTATATGTAATCCCGTTTCCAACGAAATCCTCAAATCTACCCCAATATCCACTTGCAGATTCCACAAAAAGAGTGTTTCAAAACTGTTCTGTCTAAAGAAATGTACAACTGTGTTAGTTGAGGACACACATCAGAAACTAGTTTCTGAGAATGCTTCTGTCTAGTTGTTATGGGAAGATATTTCCTTTTCCAACGTAGGCCTGAAAGCGCTCCAAATGTCCACTTCCATATACTAAAAAAAGAGTGTTTCAAACCTGCTCTACCAAAGGGAATGTTCTACTCTGTGACTTGAATGCAAACATCCCAAAGAAGTTTCTGAGAATGCTTCTGTCTAGATTTGATCTGAAGACAATCCCGTTTCCAACGAAATCCTCAAGGCTAGGCAAATATCCTCTTGCAGATTCCAGAAAAAGAGTGTTTCAAAACTGCTCCTTCAAAACGGTGGTTCAATTCTCTTAGTTGAGTACACACATCTCCAATAAGTTTCTGAGAATGCTTCTGCCTAGTTGTTACCGGAAGATATTTCCCTTTCCAACATAGGCCTGAAAGCGCTCCAAATGTCCACTTCCAGATACTACAAAAAGAGTGTTTCAAACCTGCTCTACCAAAGGGAATGTTCTACTCTGTGACTTGAATGCAAACATCCCAAAGAAGTTTCTGAGAATGCTTCTGTCTAGATTTTACCTGAAGACAATCCCGTTTCCCACGAAATCCTCAAAGCTATGCAAATATCCTCTTGCAGATTCTACAAAAAGAGTGTTTCAAAACTGCTCTATGAAAAGAAAGGTTCAACTCTGTCAGTAGAGGGCACACATCACAAACAAGTTTCTGAGAATGCTTGTGTCTAGTTGTTATGGGAAGATATTTCCTTTTTCAACATAGGCCTGAAAGCGCTCCAAATGTCCACTTCCAGATACTACAAAAGGAGTGATTCCAACCTGCTCTATGATAGGGAATGTTCAACTCTCTGTCCTGAATACAAACATCACAAAGATGTTTCTCAGAACGCTGAGGTCTGCAATTTGTATGAATTCCCGCTTCCAACGAAATCCTCAAAACTAGCCAAATATCCACTTGCAGATTCCACAAAAAGAGCATTTCAAAACTGCTCTATCAAAAGAAAGGTTCAACTTTGTTAGTTGAGTAGATACAGCATAAACAAGTTTCTGAGAATGCTTCTGTCCAGTTTTTATGGGAAGATATTTCCTTTTTCACCTTAGCCCTGAAAGCGCTCCAAAAGTCCAGTTCCAGAAACTACAAAAGGGGTGTTTCAAGACTGCTCTATGAAAGGGAGTGTTCAACTTTTGACTTGAATGCAAACATCAGAAAGCAGTTTCTCAGAACGCTGCTGTGTGCTTTTTATATGTATTCCCGCTTCCAGCGAAATCCCCAAAGCTAGCCAAATATCCACTTGCAGATTCCAGAAAAAGAGTGTTTCAAAACTGCTCCTTCAAAACGGTGGTTCAATTCTCTTAGTTGAGTACACACATCTCAAATAAGTTTCTGAGAATGCTTCTGTCTAGTTGTTATGGGAAGATATTTCCTTTTCCAACATAGGCCTGAAAGCGCTCCAAATGTCCACTTCCAGATACTACAAAAGGAGTGATTCAAACCTACTCTATGATAGGGAATGTTCAACTCTGTGTCCTGAATACAAACATCACAAAGATGTTTCTCAGAACGCTGCAGTCTGCAATTTGTATGAATTCCCGCTTCCAACGAAATCCTCAAAACTAGCCAAATATCCACTTGCAGATTCCACAAAAAGAGCGTTTCAAAACTTCTCTATGAAAAGAAAGGTTCTACTCCTTTAGTTGAGGACACACATCACGAGTAAGTTTCTGAGAATGCTTCTGTCTAGTTTTTGTGGGAAGATATTTCCTTTTTCACCTTAGGCCAGAAAGCGCTCCAAATGTCCACTTACACACACTACAAAAAGAGTGTTTCAAACCTGCTCTGTGAAAGGGAATTTTCAATTCTGTGACTTGAATGCAATCATCACAAAGAACTATCTGAGAATGCTGCTGACTGCTTTTTATATGTAATCCCGTTTCCAACGAAATCCTCAAATCTAGCCAAATAGCCACTTGCAGATTCCACAAAAAGAGTGTTTCAAAACTGTTCTGTCTAAAGAAATGTTCAACTGTGTTAGTTGAGGACACACATCAGAAACTAGTTTCTGAGAATGCTTCTGTCTAGTTGTTATGGGAAGATATTTCCTTTTCCAACGTAGGCCTGAAAGCGCTCCAAATGTCCATTTCCATATACTAAAAAAAGAGTGTTTCAAACCTGCTCTATCAAAGGGAATGTTCTACTCTGTGACTTGAATACAAACATCCCAAAGAAGTTTCTGAGAATGCTTCTGTCTAGATTTTATCTGAAGACAATCCCGTTTCCAACGAAATCCTCAAGGCTAGGCAAATATACTCTTGCAGATTCCAGAAAAAGAGTGTTTCAAAACTGCTCCTTCAAAACGGTGGTTCAATTCTCTTAGTTGAGTACACACATCTCAAATAAGTTTCTGAGAATGCTTCTGCCTAGTTGTTACGGGAAGATATTTCCCTTTCCAACATGGGCCTGAAAGCGCTCCAAATGTCCACTTCCAGATACTACAAAAAGAGTGTTTCAAACCTGCTCTACCAAAGGGAATGTTCTACTCTGTGACTTGAATGCAAACATCCCAAAGAAGTTTCTGAGAATGCTTCTGTCTAGATTTTACCTGAAGACAATCCCGTTTCCCACGAAATCCTCAAAGCTATGCAAATATCCTCTTGCAGATTCTACAAAAAGAGTGTTTCAAAACTGCTCTATGAAAAGAAAGGTTCAACTCTGTCAGTAGAGGGCACACATCACAAACAAGTTTCTGAGAATGCTTGTGTCTAGTTGTTATGGGAAGATATTTCCTTTTTCAACATAGGCCTGAAAGCGCTCCAAATGTCCACTTCCAGATACTACAAAAGGAGTGATTCCAACCTGCTCTATGATAGGGAATGTTCATCTCTGTGTCCTGAATAGAAACATCACAAAGATGTTTCTCAGAACGCTGCAGTCTGCAATTTTTATGAATTCCCGCTTCCAACGAAATCCTCAAAACTAGCCAAATATCCACTTGCAGATTCCACAAAAAGAGCATTTCAAAACTGCTCTATCAAAAGAAAGGTTCAACTTTGTTAGTTGAGTAGATACAGCATAAACAAGTTTCTGAGAATGCTTCTGTCCAGTTTTTATGGGAAGATATTTCCTTTTTCACCTTAGCCCTGAAATCGCTCCAAAAGTCCAGTTCCAGATACTACAAAAGGGGTGTTTCAAGACTGCTCTATGAAAGGGAGTGTTCAACTTTTGACTTGAATGCAAACATCAGAAAGCAGTTTCTCAGAACGCTGCTGTGTGCTTTTTATATGTATTCCCGCTTCCAGCGAAATCCCCAAAGCTAGCCAAATATCCACTTGCAGATTCCAGAAAAAGAGTGTTTCAAAACTGCTCCTTCAAAACGGTGGTTCAATTCTCTTAGTTGAGTACACACATCTCAAATAAGTTTCTGAGAATGCTTGTGTCTAGTTGTTATGGGAAGATATTTCCTTTTCCAACATAGGCCTGAAAGCGCTCCAAATGTCCACTTCCAGATACTACAAAAGGAGGGATTCCAACCTGGTCTATGATAGGGAATGTTCAACTCTCTGTCCTGAATACAAACATCACAAAGATGTTTCTCAGAACGCTGCAGTCTGCAATTTGTATGAATTCCCGCTTCCAACGAAATCCTCAAAACTAGCCAAATATCCACTTGCAGATTCCACAAAAAGAGCGTTTCAAAACTTCTCTATGAAAAGAAAGGTTCTACTCCTTTAGTTGAGGACACACATCACGAGTAAGTTTCTGAGAATGCTTCTGTCTAGTTTTTATGGGAAGATTATTTCCTTTTTCACCTTAGGCCGGTAAGTGCTCCAAATGTCCACTTACACACACTACAAAAAGAGTGTTTCAAACCTGCTCTGTGAAAGGGAATGTTCAATTCTGTGACTTGAATGCAATCATCACAAAGAACTTTCTGAGAATGCCGCTGACTGCTTTTTATATGTAATCCCGTTTCCAACGAAATCCTCAAATCTAGCCAAATAGCCACTTGCAGATTCCACAAAAAGAGTGTTTCAAAACTGTTCTGTCTAAAGAAATGTTCAACTGTGTTAGTTGAGGACACACATCAGAAACTAGTTTCTGAGAATGCTTCTGTCTAGTTGTTATGGGAAGATATTTCCTTTTCCAACGTAGGCCTGAAAGCGCTCCAAATGTCCACTTCCAGATACTAAAAAAAGAGTGTTTCAAACCTGCTCTACCAAAGGGAATGTTCTACTCTGTGACTTGAATGCAAGCATCCCAAAGAAGTTTCTGAGAATGCTTCTGTCTAGATTTTCTCTGAAGACAATCCCGTTTCCAACGAAATCCTCAAGGCTAGGCAAATATACTCTTGCAGATTCCAGAAAAAGAGTGTTTCAAAACTGCTCCTTCAAAACGGTGGTTCAATTCTCTTAGTTGAGTACACACATCTCAAATAAGTTTCTGAGAATGCTTCTGCCTAGTTGTTGCGGGAAGATATTTCCCTTTCCAACATAGGCCTGAAAGCGCTCCAAATGTCCACTTCCAGATACTACAAAAAGAGTGTTTCAAACCTGCTCTACCAAAGGGAATGTTCTACTCTGTGACTTGAATGCAAACATCCCAAAGAAGTTTCTGAGAATGCTTCTGTCTAGATTTTACCTGAAGACAATCCCGTTTCCCACGAAATCCTCAAAGCTATGCAAATATCCTCTTGCAGATTCTACAAAAAGAGTGTTTCAAAACTGCTCTATGAAAAGAAAGGTTCAACTCTGTCAGTAGAGGGCACACATCACAAACAAGTTTCTGAGAATGCTTCTGCATAGTTGTTACGGGAAGATATTTCCCTTTCCAAAATAGGCCTGAAAGCGCTCCAAATGTCCACTTCCAGATACTACAAAAGGAGTGATTCCAACCTGCTCTATGATAGGGAATGTTCAACTCTGTGTCCTGAATACAAACATCACAAAGATGTTTCTCAGAACGCTGCAGTCTGCAATTTGTATGAATTCCCGCTTCCAACGAAATCCTCAAAACTAGCCAAATATCCACTTGCAGATTCCACAAAAAGACCATTTCAAAACTGCTCTATCAAAAGAAAGGTTCAACTTTGTTAGTTGAGTAGATACAGCATAAACAAGTTTCTGAGAATGCTTCTGTCCAGTTTTTATGGGAAGATATTTCCTTTTTCACCTTAGCCCTGAAATCGCTCCAAAAGTCCAGTTCCAGATACTACAAAAGGGGTGTTTCAAGACTGCTCTATGAAAGGGAGTGTTCAACTTTTGACTTGAATGCAAACATCAGAAAGCAGTTTCTCAGAACGCTGCTGTGTGCTTTTTATATGTATTCCCGCTTCCAGCGAAATCCCCAAAGCTAGCCAAATATCCACTTGCAGATTCCAGAAAAAGAGAGTTTCAAAACTGCTCCTTCAAAACGGTGGTTCAATTCTCTTAGTTGAGTACACACATCTCAAATAAGTTTCTGAGAATGCTTCTGTCTAGTTGTTATGGGAAGATATTTCCTTTTCCAACATAGGCCTGAAAGCGCTCCAAATGTCCACTTCCAGATACTACAAAAGGAGTGATTCCAACCTGCTCTATGATAGGGAATGTTCAACTCTGTGTCCTGAATACAAACATCACAAAGATGTTTCTCAGAACGCTGCAGTCTGCAATTTGTATGAATTCCCGCTTCCAACGAAATCCTCAAAACTAGCCAAATATCCACTTGCAGATTCCACAAAAAGAGCGTTTCAAAACTTCTCTATGAAAAGAAAGGTTCTACTCCTTTAGTTGAGGACACACATCACGAGTAAGTTTCTGAGAATGCTTCTGTCTAGTTTTTATGGGAAGATATTTCCTTTTTCACCTTAGGCCGGTAAGTGCTCCAAATGTCCACTTACACACACTACAAAAAGAGTGTTTCAAACCTGCTCTGTGAAAGGGAATGTTCAATTCTGTGACTTGAATGCAATCATCACAAAGAACTTTCTGAGAATGCTGCTGACTGCTTTTTATATGTAATCCCGTTTCCAACGAAATCCTCAAATCTAGCCAAATAGCCACTTGCAGATTCCACAAAAAGAGTGTTTCAAAACTGTTCTGTCTAAAGAAATGTTCAACTGTGTTAGTTGAGGACACACATCAGAAACTAGTTTCTGAGAATGCTTCTGTCTAGTTGTTATGGGAAGATATTTCCTTTTCCAACGTAGGCCTGAAAGCGCTCCAAATGTCCACTTCCAGATACTACAAAAAGAGTGTTTCAAACCTGCTCTACCAAAGGGAATGTTCTACTCTGTGACTTGAATGCAAACATCCCAAAGAAGTTTCTGAGAATGCTTCTGTCTAGATTTTCTCTGAAGACAATCCCGTTTCCAACGAAATCCTCAAGGCTAGGCAAATATACTCTTGCAGATTCCAGAAAAAGAGTGTTTCAAAACTGCTCCTTCAAAACGGTGGTTCAATTCTCTTAGTTGAGTACACACATCTCAAATAAGTTTCTGAGAATGCTTCTGCCTAGTTGTTACGGGAAGATATTTCCTTTTCCAACATAGGCCTGAAAGCGCTCCAAATGTCCACTTCCAGATACTACAAAAAGAGTGTTTCAAACCTGCTCTACCAAAGGGAATGTTCTACTCTGTGACTTGAATGCAAACATCCCAAAGAAGTTTCTGAGAATGCTTCTGTCTAGATTTTACCTGAAGACAATCCCGTTTCCCACGAAATCCTCAAAGCTATGCAAATATCCTCTTGCAGATTCTACAAAAAGAGTGTTTCAAAACTGCTCTATGAAAAGAAAGGTTCAACTCTGTCAGTAGAGGGCACACATCACAAACAAGTTTCTGAGAATGCTTGTGTCTAGTTGTTATGGGAAGATATTTCCTTTTTCAACATAGGCCTGAAAGCGCTCCAAATGTCCACTTCCAGATACTACAAAAGGAGTGATTCCAACCTGCTCTATGATAGGGAATGTTCAACTCTCTGTCCTGAATACAAACATCACAAAGATGTTTCTCAGAACGCTGCAGTCTGCAATTTGTATGAATTCCCGCTTCCAGCGAAATCCTCAAAACTAGCCAAATATCCACTTGCAGATTCCACAAAAAGAGCATTTCAAAACTGCTCTATCAAAAGAAAGGTTCAACTTTGTTAGTTGAGTAGATACAGCATAAACAAGTTTCTGAGAATGCTTCTGTCCAGTTTTTATGGGAAGATATTTCCTTTTTCACCTTAGCCCTGAAAGCGCTCCAAAAGTCCAGTTCCAGATACTACAAAAGGAGTGTTTCAGGACTGCTCTATGAAAGGGAGTGTTCAACTTTTGACTTGAATGCAAACATCAGAAAGCAGTTTCTCAGAACGCTGCTGTGTGCTTTTTATATGTATTCCCGCTTCCAGCGAAATCCCCAAAGCTAGCCAAATATCCACTTGCAGATTCCAGAAAAAGAGTGTTTCAAAACTGCTCCTTCAAAACGGTGGTTCAATTCTCTTAGTTGAGTACACACATCTCAAATAAGTTTCTGAGAATGCTTCTGTCTAGTTGTTATGGGAAGATATTTCCTTTTCCAACATAGGCCTGAAAGCGCTCCAAATGTCCACTTCCAGATACTACAAAAGGAGTGATTCAAACCTGCTCTATGATAGGGAATGTTCAACTCTGTGTCCTGAATACAAACATCACAAAGATGTTTCTCAGAACGCTGCAGTCTGCAATTTGTATGAATTCCCGCTTCCAACGAAATCCTCCAAACTAGCCAAATATCCACTTGCAGATTCCACAAAAAGAGCGTTTCAAAACTTCTCTATGAAAAGAAAGGTTCTGCTCCTTTAGTTGAGGACACACATCACGAGTAAGTTTCTGAGAATGCTTCTGTCTAGTTTTTATGGGAAGATATTTCCTTTTTCACCTTAGGCCGGAAAGTGCTCCAAATGTCCACTTACACACACTACAAAAAGAGTGTTTCAAACCTGCTCTGTGAAAGGGAATGTTCAATTCTGTGACTTGAATGCAATCATCACAAAGAACTTTCTGAGAATGCTGCTGTCTGCTTTTTATATGTAATCCCGTTTCCAACGAAATCCTCAAATCTAGCCAAATAGCCACTTGCAGATTCCACAAAAAGAGTGTTTCAAAACTGTTCTGTCTAAAGAAATGTTCAACTGTGTTAGTTGAGGACACACATCAGAAACTAGTTTCTGAGAATGCTTCTGTCTAGTTGTTATGGGAAGATATTTCCTTTTCCAACGTAGGCCTGAAAGCGCTCCAAATGTCCACTTCCATATACTAAAAAAAGAGTGTTTCAAACCTGCTCTACCAAAGGGAATGTTCTACTCTGTGACTTGAATGCAAACATCCCAAAGAAGTTTCTGAGAATGCTTCTGTCTAGATTTTATCTGAAGACAATCCCGTTTCCAACGAAATCCTCAAAGCTAGGCAAATATACTCTTGCAGATTCCAGAAAAAGAGTGTTTCAAAACTGCTCCTTGAAAAGGGTGGTTCAATTCTCTTAGTTGAGTACACCCATCTCAAATAAGTTTCTGAGAATGCTTCTGCCTAGTTGTTACGGGAAGATATTTCCCTTTCCAACATGGGCCTGAAGCGCTCCAAATGTCCACTTCCAGATACTACAAAAAGAGTGTTTCAAACCTGCTCTACCAAAGGGAATGTTCTACTCTGTGACTTGAATGCAAACATCCCAAAGAAGTTTCTGAGAATGCTTCTGTCTAGATTTTACCTGAAGACAATCCCGTTTCCCACGAAATCCTCAAAGCTATGCAAATATCCTCTTGCAGATTCTACAAAAAGAGTGTTTCAAAACTGCTCTATGAAAAGAAAGGTTCAACTCTGTCAGTAGAGGGCACACATCACAAACAAGTTTCTGAGAATGCTTCTGCATAGTTGTTACGGGAAGATATTTCCCTTTCCAAAATAGGCCTGAAAGCGCTCCAAATGTCCACTTCCAGATACTACAAAAGGAGTGATTCCAACCTGCTCTATGATAGGGAATGTTCAACTCTGTGTCCTGAATACAAACATCACAAAGATGTTTCTCAGAACGCTGCAGTCTGCAATTTGTATGAATTCCAGCTTCCAACGAAATCCTCAAATCTAGCCAAATATCCACTTGCAGATTCCACAAAAAGAGCATTTCAAAACTGCTCTGTCAAAAGAAAGGTTCAACTTTGTTAGTAGAGTAGATACAGCATAAACAAGTTTCTGAGAATGCTTCTGTCCAGTTTTTATGGGAAGATATTTCCTTTTTCACCTTAGCCCTGAAAGCGCTCCAAAAGTCCAGTTCCAGATACTACAAAAGGAGTGTTTCAGGACTGCTCTATGAAAGGGAGTGTTCAACTTTTGACTTGAATGCAAACATCAGAAAGCAGTTTCTCAGAACGCTGCTGTGTGCTTTTTATATGTATTCCCGCTTCCAGCGAAATCCCCAAAGCTAGCCAAATATCCACTTGCAGATTCCAGAAAAAGAGTGTTTCAAAACTGCTCCTTCAAAACGGTGGTTCAATTCTCTTAGTTGAGTACACACATCTCAAATAAGTTTCTGAGAATGCTTCTGTCTAGTTGTTATGGGAAGATATTTCCTTTTCCAACATAGGCCTGAAAGTGCTCCAAATGTCCACTTCCAGATACTACAAAAGGAGTGATTCAAACCTGCTCTATGATAGGGAATGTTCAACTCTGTGTCCTGAATACAAACATCACAAAGATGTTTCTCAGAACGCTGCAGTCTGCAATTTGTATGAATTCCCGCTTCCAACGAAATCTTCAAAACTAGCCAAATATCCACTTGCAGATTCCACAAAAAGAGCGTTTCAAAACTTCTCTATGAAAAGAAAGGTTCTACTCCTTTAGTTGAGGACACACATCACGAGTAAGTTTCTGAGAATGCTTCTGTCTAGTTTTTATGGGAAGATATTTCCTTTTTCACCTTAGGCCGGAAAGTGCTCCAAATGTCCACTTACACACACTACAAAAAGAGTGTTTCAAACCTGCTCTGTGAAAGGGAATGTTCAATTCTGTGACTTGAATGCAATCATCACAAAGAACTTTCTGAGAATGCTGCTGTCTGCTTTTTATATGTAATCCCGTTTCCAACGAAATCCTCAAATCTAGCCAAATAGCCACTTGTAGATTCCACAAAAAGAGTGTTTCAAAACTGTTCTGTCTAAAGAAATGTTCAACTGTGTTAGTTGAGGACACACATCAGAAACTAGTTTCTGAGAATGCTTCTGTCTAGTTGTTATGGGAAGATATTTCCTTTTCCAACGTAGGCCTGAAAGCGCTCCAAATGTCCACTTCCATATACTAAAAAAAGAGTGTTTCAAACCTGCTCTACCAAAGGGAATGTTCTACTCTGTGACTTGAATGCAAACATCCCAAAGAAGTTTCTGAGAATGCTTCTGTCTAGATTTTATCTGAAGACAATCCCGTTTCCAACGAAATCCTCAAGGCTAGGCAAATATACTCTTGCAGATTCCAGAAAAAGAGTGTTTCAAAACTGCTCCTTCAAAACGGTGGTTCAGTTCTCTTACTTGAGTACACACATCTCAAATAAGTTTCTGAGAATGCTTCTGCCTAGTTGTTACGGGAAGATATTTCCCTTTCCAACATGGGCCTGAAAGCGCTCCAAATGTCCACTTCCAGATACTACAAAAAGAGTGTTTCAAACCTGCTCTACCAAGGGGAATGTTCTACTCTGTGACTTGAATGCAAACATCCCAAAGAAGTTTCTGAGAATGCTTCTGTCTAGATTTTACCTGAAGACAATCCCGTTTCCCACGAAATCCTCAAAGCTATGCAAATATCCTCTTGCGGATTCTACAAAAAGAGTGTTTCAAAACTGCTCTATGAAAAGAAAGGTTCAACTCTGTCAGTAGAGGGCACACATCACAAACAAGTTTCTGAGAATGCTTGTGTCTAGTTGTTATGGGAAGATATTTCCTTTTTCAACATAGGCCTGAAAGCGCTCCAAATGTCCACTTCCAGATACTACAAAAGGAGTGATTCCAACCTGCTCTATGATAGGGAATGTTCATGTCTGTGTCCTGAATACAAACATCACAAAGATGTTTCTCAGAACGCTGCAGTCTGCAATTTGTATGAATTCCCGCTTCCAACGAAATCCTCAACACTAGCCAAATATCCACTTGGAGATTCCACAAAAAGAGCGTTTCAAAACTTCTCTATGAATAGAAAGGTTCTACTCCTTTAGTTGAGGACACACATCACGAGTAAGTTTCTGAGAATGCTTCTGTCTAGTTTTCATGGGAAGATATGTCCTTTTTCACCTTAGGCCGGAAAGCACTCCAAATGTCCACTTACACACACTACAAAAAGAGTGTTTCAAACCTGCTCTGTGAAAGGGAATGTTCAATTCTGTGACTTGAATGCAATCATCACAAAGAACTTTCTGAGAATGCTGCTGACTGCTTTTTATATGTAATCCCGTTTCCAACGAAATCCTCAAATCTAGCCCAATATCCACTTGCAGATTCCACAAAAAGAGTGTTTCAAAACTGTTCTGTCTAAAGAAATGTACAACTGTGTTAGTTGAGGACACACATCAGAAACTAGTTTCTGAGAATGCTTCTGTCTAGTTGTTATGGGAAGATATTTCCTTTTCCAACGTAGGCCTGAAAGCGCTCCAAATGTCCACTTCCATATACTAAAAAAAGAGTGTTTCAAACCTGCTCTACCAAAGGGAATGTTCTACTCTGTGACTTGAATGCAAACATCCCAAAGAAGTTTCTGAGAATGCTTCTGTCTAGATTTTCTCTGAAGACAATCCCGTTTCCAACGAAATCCTCATGGCTAGGCAAATATACTCTTGCAGATTCCAGAAAAAGAGTGTTTCAAAACTGCTCCTTCAAAACGGTGGTTCAATTCTCTTAGTTGAGTACACACATCTCAAATAAGTTTCTGAGAATGCTTCTGCCTAGTTGTTACGGGAAGATATTTCCCTTTCCAACATGGGCCTGAAAGCGCTCCAAATGTCCACTTCCAGATACTACAAAAAGAGTGTTTCAAACCTGCTCTACCAAAGGGAATGTTCTACTCTGTGACTTGAATGCAAACATCCCAAAGAAGTTTCTGAGAATGCTTCTGTCTAGATTTTACCTGAAGACAATCCCGTTTCCCACGAAATCCTCAAAGCTATGCAAATATCCTCTTGCGGATTCTACAAAAAGAGTGTTTCAAAACTGCTCTATGAAAAGAAAGGTTCAACTCTGTCAGTAGAGGGCACACATCACAAACAACTTTCTGAGAATGCTTGTGTCTAGTTGTTATGGGAAGATATTTCCTTTTTCAACATAGGCCTGAAAGCGCTCCAAATGTCCTCTTCCACATACTACAAAAGGAGTGATTCCAACCTGCTCTATGATAGGGAATGTTCATCTCTGTGTCCTGAATACAAACATCACAAAGATGTTTCTCAGAACGCTGCAGTCTGCAATTTGTATGAATTCCCGCTTCCAACGAAATCCTCAAAACTAGCCAAATATCCACTTGGAGATTCCACAAAAAGAGCGTTTCAAAACTTCTCTATGAATAGAAAGGTTCTACTCCTTTAGTTGAGGACACACATCACGAGTAAGTTTCTGAGAATGCTTCTGTCTAGTTTTTATGGGAAGATATGTCCTTTTTCACCTTAGGCCGGAAAGCGCTCCAAATGTCCACTTACACACACTACAAAAAGAGTGTTTCAAACCTGCTCTGTGAAAGGGAATGTTCAATTCTGTGACTTGAATGCAATCATCACAAAGAACTTTCTGAGAATGCTGCTGTCTGCTTTTTATATGTAATCCCGTTTCCAACGAAATCCTCAAATCTACCCCAATATCCACTTGCAGATACCACAAAAAGAGTGTTTCAAAACTGTTCTGTGTAAAGAAATGTACAACTGTTTTAGTTGAGGACACACATCAGAAACTAGTTTCTGAGAATGCTTCTGTCTAGTTGTTATGGGAAGATATTTCCTTTTCCAACGTAGGCCTGAAAGCGCTCCAAATGTCCACTTCCATATACTAAAAAAAGAGTGTTTCAAACCTGCTCTACCAAAGGGAATGTTCTACTCTGTGACTTGAATGCAAACATCCCAAAGAAGTTTCTGAGAATGCTTCTGTCTAGATTTGATCTGAAGACAATCCCGTTTCCAACGAAATCCTCAAAGCTAGGCAAATATACTCTTGCAGATTCCAGAAAAAGAGTGTTTCAAAACTGGTCCTTCAAAACGGTGGTTCAATTCTCTTAGTTGAGTACACACATCTCAAATAAGTTTCTGAGAATGCTTCTGCCTAGTTGTTAAGGGAAGATATTTCCCTTTCCAACATAGGCCTGAAAGCGCTCCAAATGTCCACTTCCAGATACTACAAAAAGAGTGTTTCAAACCTGCTCTACCAAACGGAATGTTCTACTCTGTGACTTGAATGCAAACATCCCAAAGAAGTTTCTGAGAATGCTTCTGTCTAGATTTTACCTGAAGACAATCCCGTTTCCCACGAAATCCTCAAAGCTATGCAAATATCCTCTTGCAGATTCTACAAAAAGAGTGTTTCAAAACTGCTCTATGAAAAGAAAGGTTCAACTCTGTCAGTAGAGGGCACACATCACAAACAAGTTTCTGAGAATGCTTGTGTCTACTTGTTATGGGAAGATATTTCCTTTTTCAACATAGGCCTGAAAGCGCTCCAAATGTCCACTTCCAGATACTACAAAAGGAGTGATTCCAACCTGCTCTATGATAGGGAATGTTCAACTCTGTGTCCTGAATACAAACATCACAAAGATGTTTCTCAGAACGCTGCAGTCTGCAATTTGTATGAATTCCCGCTTCCAAAGAAATCCTCAAAACTAACCAAATATCCATTTGCAGACTCCACAAAAAGAGCATTTCAAAACTGCTCTATCAAAAGAAAGGTTCAACTTTGTTAGCTGAGTAGATACAGCATAAACAAGTTTCTGAGAATGCTTCTGTCCAGTTTTTATGGGAAGATATTTCCTTTCTCACCTTAGCCCTGAAAGCACTCCAAATGTCCACTTCCAGATACCACAAAAGGGGAGTTTCAAGACTGCTCTATGAAAGGGAGTGTTCAACTTTTGACTTGAATGCGAACATCAGAAAGAAGTTTCTCAGAACGCTGCTGTGTGCTTTTTATATGTATTCCCGCTTCCAGCGAAATCCCCAAAGCTAGCCAAATATCCACTTGCAGATTCCAGAAAAAGAGAGTTTCAAAACTGCTCCTTCAAAACGGTGGTTCAATTCTCTTAGTTGAGTACACACATCTCAAATAAGTTTCTGAGAATGCTTCTGTCTAGTTGTTATGGGAAGATATTTCCTTTTCCAACATAGGCCTGAAAGCGCTCCAAATGTCCACTTCCAGATACTACAAAAGGAGTGATTCCAACCTGCTCTATGATAGGGAATGTTCAACTCTGTGTCCTGAATACAAACATCACAAAGATGTTTCTCAGAACGCTGCAGTCTGCAATTTGTATGAATTCCCGCTTCCAACGAAATCCTCAAAACTAGCCAAATATCCACTTGCAGATTCCACAAAAAGAGCGTTTCAAAACTTCTCTATGAAAAGAAAGGTTCTACTCCTTTAGTTGAGGACACACATCACGAGTAAGTTTCTGAGAATGCTTCTGTCTAGTTTTTATGGGAAGATTATTTCCTTTTTCACCTTAGGCCGGTAAGTGCTCCAAATGTCCACTTACACACACTACAAAAAGAGTGTTTCAAACCTGCTCTGTGAAAGGGAATGTTCAATTCTGTGACTTGAATGCAATCATCACAAAGAACTTTCTGAGAATGCCGCTGACTGCTTTTTATATGTAATCCCGTTTCCAACGAAATCCTCAAATCTAGCCAAATAGCCACTTGCAGATTCCACAAAAAGAGTGTTTCAAAACTGTTCTGTCTAAAGAAATGTTCAACTGTGTTAGTTGAGGACACACATCAGAAACTAGTTTCTGAGAATGCTTCTGTCTAGTTGTTATGGGAAGATATTTCCTTTTCCAACGTAGGCCTGAAAGCGCTCCAAATGTCCACTTCCAGATACTACAAAAAGAGTGTTTCAAACCTGCTCTACCAAAGGGAATGTTCTACTCTGTGACTTGAATGCAAGCATCCCAAAGAAGTTTCTGAGAATGCTTCTGTCTAGATTTGATCTGAACACAATCCCGTTTCCAACGAAATCCTCAAAGCTAGGCAAATATCCTCTTGCAGATTCCAGAAAAAGAGTGTTTCAAAACTGCTCCTTCAAAACGGTGGTTCAATTCTCTTAGTTGAGTACACACATCTCAAATAAGTTTCTGAGAATGCTTCTGCCTAGTTGTTACGGGAAGATATTTCCCTTTCCAACATAGGCCTGAAAGCGCTCCAAATGTCCACTTCCAGATACTACAAAAAGAGTGTTTCAAACCTGCTCTACCAAAGGGAATGTTCTACTCTGTGACTTGAATGCAAACATCCCAAAGAAGTTTCTGAGAATGCTTCTGTCTAGATTTTACCTGAAGACAATCCCGTTTCCCACGAAATCCTCAAAGCTATGCAAATATCCTCTTGCAGATTCTACAAAAAGAGTGTTTCAAAACTGCTCTATGAAAAGAAAGGTTCAACTCTGTCAGTAGAGGGCACACATCACAAACAAGTTTCTGAGAATGCTTGTGTCTAGTTGTTATGGGAAGATATTTCCTTTTTCAACATAGGCCTGAAAGCGCTCCAAATGTCCACTTCCAGATACTACAAAAGGAGTGATTCCAACCTGCTCTATGATAGGGAATGTTCAACTCTCTGTCCTGAATACAAACATCACAAAGATGTTTCTCAGAACGCTGCAGTCTGCAATTTGTATGAATTCCCGCTTCCAACGAAATCCTCAAAACTAGCCAAATATCCACTTGCAGATTCCACAAAAAGACCATTTCAAAACTGCTCTATCAAAAGAAAGGTTCAACTTTGTTAGTTGAGTAGATACAGCATAAACAAGTTTCTGAGAATGCTTCTGTCCAGTTTTTATGGGAAGATATTTCCATTTTCACCTTAGCCCTGAAAGCGCTCCAAAAGTCCAGTTCCAGATACTACAAAAGGAGTGTTTCAGGACTGCTCTATGAAAGGGAGTGTTCAACTTTTGACTTGAATGCAAACATCAGAAAGCAGTTTCTCAGAACGCTGCTGTGTGCTTTTTATATGTATTCCCGCTTCCAGCGAAATCCCCAAAGCTAGCCAAATATCCACTTGCAGATTCCAGAAAAAGAGTGTTTCAAAACTGCTCCTTCAAAACGGTGGTTCAATTCTCTTAGTTGAGTACACACATCTCAAATAAGTTTCTGAGAATGCTTCTGTCTAGTTGTTATGGGAAGATATTTCCTTTTCCAACATAGGCCTGAAAGCGCTCCAAATGTCCACTTCCAGATACTACAAAAGGAGTGATTCCAACCTGCTCTATGATAGGGAATGTTCAACTCTGTGTCCTGAATACAAACATCACAAAGATGTTTCTCAGAACGCTGCAGTCTGCAATTTGTATGAATTCCCGCTTCCAACGAAATCCTCCAAACTAGCCAAATATCCACTTGCAGATTCCACAAAAAGAGCGTTTCAAAACTTATCTATGAAAAGAAAGGTTCTACTTCTTTAGTTGAGGACACACATCACGAGTAACTTTCTGAGAGTGCTTCTGTCTAGTTTTTATGGGAAGATATGTCCTTTTTCACCTTAGGCCGGAAAGCGCTCCAAATGTCCACTTACACACACTACAAAAAGAGTGTTTCAAACCTGCTCTGTGAAAGGGAATGTTCAATTCTGTGACTTGAATACAATCATCACAAAGAACTTTCTGAGAATGCTGCTGACTGCTTTTTATATGTAATCCCGTTTCCAACGAAATACTCAAATCTAGCCAAATATCCACTTGCAGATTCCACAAAAAGAGTGTTTCAAAACTGTTCTGTATAAAGAAATGTACAACTGTGTTAGTTGAGGACACACATCAGAAACTAGTTTCTGAGAATGCTTCTGTCTAGTTGTTATGGGAAGATATTTCCTTTTCCAACGTAGGCCTGAAAGCGCTCCAAATGTCCACTTCCAGATACTACAAAAAGAGTGTTTCAAACCTGCTCTACCAAAGGGAATGTTCTACTCTGTGACTTGAATGCAAACATCCCAAAGAAGTTTCTGAGAATGCTTCTGTCTAGATTTTACCTGAAGACAATCCCGTTTCCCACGAAATCCTCAAAGCTATGCAAATATCCTCTTGCAGATTCTACAAAAAGAGTGTTTCAAAACTGCTCTATGAAAAGAAAGGTTCAACTCTGTCAGTAGAGGGCACACATCACAAACAAGTTTCTGAGAATGCTTCTGCATAGTTGTTACGGGAAGATATTTCCCTTTCCAAAATAGGCCTGAAAGCGCTCCAAATGTCCACTTCCAGATACTACAAAAGGAGTGATTCCAACCTGCTCTATGATAGGGAATGTTCAACTCTGTGTCCTGAATACAAACATCACAAAGATGTTTCTCAGAACGCTGCAGTCTGCAATTTGTATGAATTCCCGCTTCCAACGAAATCCTCAAAACTAGCCAAATATCCACTTGCAGATTCCACAAAAAGACCATTTCAAAACTGCTCTATCAAAAGAAAGGTTCAACTTTGTTAGTTGAGTAGATACAGCATAAACAAGTTTCTGAGAATGCTTCTGTCCAGTTTTTATGGGAAGATATTTCCTTTTTCACCTTAGCCCTGAAATCGCTCCAAAAGTCCAGTTCCAGATACTACAAAAGGGGTGTTTCAAGACTGCTCTATGAAAGGGAGTGTTCAACTTTTGACTTGAATGCAAACATCAGAAAGCAGTTTCTCAGAACGCTGCTGTGTGCTTTTTATATGTATTCCCGCTTCCAGCGAAATCCCCAAAGCTAGCCAAATATCCACTTGCAGATTCCAGAAAAAGAGAGTTTCAAAACTGCTCCTTCAAAACGGTGGTTCAATTCTCTTAGTTGAGTACACACATCTCAAATAAGTTTCTGAGAATGCTTCCTGTCTATTTGTTATGGGAAGATATTTCCTTTTCCAACATAGGGCCTGAAAGCGCTCCAAATGTCCACTTCCAGATACTACAAAAGGAGTGATTCAAACCTGCTCTATGATAGGGAATGTTCAACTCTGTGTCCTGAATACAAACATCACAAAGATGTTTCTCAGAACGCTGCAGTCTGCATCTTGTATGAATTCCCGCTTCCAACGAAATCCTCCAAACTAGCCAAATATCCACTTGCAGATTCCACAAAAAGAGCGTTTCAAAACTTCTCTATGAAAAGAAAGGTTCTACTCCTTTAGTTGAGGACACACATCACGAGTAAGTTTCTGAGAATGCTTCTGTCTAGTTTTTATGGGAAGATATTTCCTTGTTCACCTTAGGCCGGAAAGCGCTCCAAATGTCCACTTACACACACTACAAAAAGAGTGTTTCAAACCTGCTCTGTGAAAGGGAATGTTCAATTCTGTGACTTGAATGCAATCATCACAAAGAAGTTTCTGAGAATGCTGCTGTCTGCTTTTTATATGTAATCCCGTTTCCAACGAAATCCTCAAATCTAGCCAAATATCCACTTGCAGATTCCACAAAAAGAGTGTTTCAAAACTGTTCTGTCTAAAGAAATGTTCAACTGTGTTAGTTGAGGACACACATCAGAAACTAGTTTCTGAGAATGCTTCTGTCTAGTTGTTATGGGAAGATATTTCCTTTTCCAACGTAGGCCTGAAAGCGCTCCAAATGTCCATTTCCATATACTAAAAAAAGAGTGTTTCAAACCTGCTCTATCAAAGGGAATGTTCTACTCTGTGACTTGAATACAAACATCCCAAAGAAGTTTCTGAGAATGCTTCTGTCTAGATTTTATCTGAAGACAATCCCGTTTCCAACGAAATCCTCAAGGCTAGGCAAATATCGTCTAGCAGATTCCAGAAAAAGAGTGTTTCAAAACTGCTCCTTCAAAACGGTGGTTCAATTCTCTTAGTTGCGTACACACATCTCAAAAAAGTTTCAGAGAATGCTTCTGCCTAGTTGTTACGGGAAGATATTTCCCTTTCCAACATGGGCCTGAAAGTGCTCCAAATGTCCACTTCCAGATACTACAAAAAGAGTGTTTCAAACCTGCTCTACCAAAGGGAATGTTCTACTGCTGTGACTTGAATGCAAACATCCCAAAGAAGTTTCTGAGAATGCTTCTGTCTAGATTTTACCTGAAGACAATCCCGTTTCCCACGAAATCCTCAAAGCTATGCAAATATCCTCTTGCAGATTCTACAAAAAGAGTGTTTCAAAACTGCTCTATGAAAAGAAAGGTTCAACTCTGTCAGTAGAGGGCACACATCACAAACAAGTTTCTGAGAATGCTTGTGTCTAGTTGTTATGGGAAGATATTTCCTTTTTCAACATAGGCCTGAAAGCGCTCCAAATGTCCACTTCCAGATACTACAAAAGGAGTGATTCCAACATGCTCTATGATAGGGAATGTTCATCTCTGTGTCTTGAATACAAACATCACAAAGATGTTTCTCAGAACGCTGCAGTCTGCAATTTGGATGAATTCCCGCTTCCAACGAAATCCTCAAAACTAGCCAAATATCCACTTGGAGATTCCACAAAAAGAGCGTTTCAAAACTTCTCTATGAATAGAAAGGTTCTATTCCTTTAGTTGAGGGCACACATCACGAGTAAGTTTCTGAGAATGCTTCTGTCTAGTTTTTATGGGAAGATATGTCCTTTTTCACCTTAGGCCGGAAAGCACTCCAAATGTCCACTTACACACACTACAAAAAGAGTGTTTCAAACCTGCTCTGTGAAAGGGAATGTTCAATTCTGTGACTTGAATGCAATCATCACAAAGAACTTTCTGAGAATGCTGCTGACTGCTTTTTATATGTAATCCCGTTTCCAACGAAATCCTCAAATCTAGCCCAATATCCACTTGCAGATTCCACAAAAAGAGTGTTTCAAAACTGTTCTGTCTAAGGAAATGTACAACTGTGTTAGTTGAGGACACACATCAGAAACTAGTTTCTGAGAATGCTTCTGTCTAGTTGTTATGGGAAGATATTTCCTTTTCCAACGTAGGCCTGAAAGCGCTCCAAATGTCCACTTCCATATACTAAAAAAAGAGTGTTTCAAACCTGCTCTACCAAAGGGAATGTTCTACTCTGTGACTTGAATGCAAACATCCCAAAGAAGTTTCTGAGAATGCTTCCTGTCTAGATTTTCTCTGAAGACAATCCCGTTTCCAACGAAATCCTCAAGGCTAGGCAAATATCCTCTTGCAGATTCCAGAAAAAGAGTGTTTCAAAACTGCTCCTTCAAAACGGTGGTTCAATTCTCTTAGTTGAGTACACACATCTCAAATAAGTTTCTGAGAATGCTTCTGCCTAGTTGTTACGGGAAGATATTTCCCTTTCCAACATAGGCCTGAAAGCGCTCCAAATGTCCACTTCCAGATACTACAAAAAGAGTGTTTCAAACCTGCTCTACCAAAGGGAATGTTCTGCTCTGTGACTTGAATGCAAACATCCCAAAGAAGTTTCTGAGAATGCTTCTGTCTAGATTTTACCTGAAGACAATCCCGTTTCCCACGAAATCCTCAAAGCTATGCAAATATCCTCTTGCAGATTCTACAAAAAGAGTGTTTCAAAACTGCTCTATGAAAAGAAAGGTTCAACTCTGTCAGTAGAGGGCACACATCACAAACAAGTTTCTGAGAATGCTTGTGTCTAGTTGTTATGGGAAGATATTTCCTTTTTCAACATAGGCCTGAAAGCGCTCCAAATGTCCACTTCCAGATACTACAAAAGGAGTGATTCCAACCTGCTCTATGATAGGGAATGTTCAACTCTCTGTCCTGAATACAAACATCACAAAGATGTTTCTCAGAACGCTGCAGTCTGCAATTTGTATGAATTCCCGCTTCCAACGAAATCCTCAAAACTAGCCAAATATCCACTTGCAGATTCCACAAAAAGACCATTTCAAAACTGCTCTATCAAAAGAAAGGTTCAACTTTGTTAGTTGAGTAGATACAGCATAACCAAGTTTCTGAGAATGCTTCTGTCCAGTTTTTATGGGAAGATATTTCCTTTTTCACCTTAGCCCTGAAATCGCTCCAAAAGTCCAGTTCCAGATACTACAAAAGGGGTGTTTCAAGACTGCTCTATGAAAGGGAGTGTTCAACTTTTGACTTGAATGCAAACATCAGAAAGCAGTTTCTCAGAACGCTGCTGTGTGCTTTTTATATGTATTCCCGCTTCCAGCGAAATCCCCAAAGCTAGCCAAATATCCACTTGCAGATTCCAGAAAAAGAGAGTTTCAAAACTGCTCCTTCAAAACGGTGGTTCAATTCTCTTAGTTGAGTACACACATCTCAAATAAGTTTCTGAGAATGCTTCTGTCTAGTTGTTATGGGAAGATATTTCCTTTTCCAACATAGGCCTGAAAGCGCTCCAAATGTCCACTTCCAGATACTACAAAAGGAGTGATTCCAACCTGCTCTATGATAGGGAATGTTCAACTCTGTGTCCTGAATACAAACATCACAAAGATGTTTCTCAGAACGCTGCAGTCTGCAATTTGTATGAATTCCCGCTTCCAACGAAATCCTCAAAACTAGCCAAATATCCACTTGCAGATTCCACAAAAAGAGCGTTTCAAAACTTCTCTATGAAAACAAAGGTTCTACTCCTTTAGTTGAGGACACACATCACGAGTAAGTTTCTGAGAATGCTTCTGTCTAGTTTTTATGGGAAGATATTTCCTTTTTCACCTTAGGCCAGAAAGTGCTCCAAATGTCCACTTACACACACTACAAAAAGAGAGTTTCAAACCTGCTCTGTGAAAGGGAATGTTCAATTCTGTGACTTGAATGCAATCATCACAAAGAACTTTCTGAGAATGCTGCTGTCTGCTTTTTATATGTAATCCCGTTTCCAACGAAATCCTCAAATCTAGCCAAATATCCACTTGCAGATTCCACAAAAAGAGTGTTTCAAAACTGTTCTGTCTAAAGAAAAGTTCAACTGTGTTAGTTGAGGACACACATCAGAAACTAGTTTCTGAGAATGCTTCTGTCTAGTTGTTATGGTAAGATATTTCCTTTTCCAACGTAGGCCTGAAAGCGCTCCAAATGTCCACTTCCATATACTAAAAAAAGAGTGTTTCAAACCTGCTCTACCAAAGGGAATGTTCTACTCTGTGACTTGAATGCAAACATCCCAAAGAAGTTTCTGAAAATGCTTCTGTCTAGATTATATCTGAAGACAATCCCGTTTCCAACGAAATCCTCAAGGCTAGGCAAATGTCCTCTTGCAGATTCCTGAAAAAGAGTGTTTCAAAACTGCTCCTTCAAAACGGTGGTTCAATTCTCTTAGTTGAGTACACACATCTCAAATAAGTTTCTGAGAATGCTTCTGCCTAGTTGTTACCGGAAGATATTTCCCTTTCCAACATAGGCCTGAAAGCGCTCCAAATGTCCCCTTCCAGATACTACAAAAAGAGTGTTTCAAACCTGCTCTACCAAAGGGAATGTTCTACTCTGTGACTTGAATGCAAACATCCCAAAGAAGTTTCTGAGAATGCTTCTGTCTAGATTTTACCTGAAGACAATCCCGTTTCCCACGAAATCCTCAAAGCTATGCAAATATCCTCTTGCAGATTCTACAAAAAGAGTGTTTCAAAACTGCTCTATGAAAAGAAAGGTTCAACTCTGTCAGTAGAGGGCACACATCACAAACAAGTTTCTGAGAATGCTTGTGTCTAGTTGTTATGGGAAGATATTTCCTTTTTCAACATAGGCCTGAAAGCGCTCCAAATGTCCACTTCCAGATACTACAAAAGGAGTGATTCCAACCTGCTCTATGATAGGGAATGTTCAACTCTGTGTCCTGAATACAAACATCACAAAGATGTTTCTCAGAACGCTGCAGTCTGCAATTTGTATGAATTCCCGCTTCCAACGAAATCCTCAAAACTAGCCAAATATCCACTTGCAGATTCCACAAAAAGACCATTTCAAAACTGCTCTATCAAAAGAAAGGTTCAACTTTGTTAGTTGAGTAGATACAGCATAAACAAGTTTCTGAGAATGCTTCTGTCCAGTTTTTATGGGAAGATATTTCCTTTTTCACCTTAGCCCTGAAATCGCTCCAAAAGTCCAGTTCCAGATACTACCAAAGGGGTGTTTCAGGACTGCTCTATGAAAGGGAGTGTTCAACTTTTGACTTGAATGCAAACATCAGAAAGCAGTTTCTCAGAACGCTGCTGTGTGCTTTTTATATGTATTCCCGCTTCCAGCGAAATCCCCAAAGCTAGCCAAATATCCACTTGCAGATTCCAGAAAAAGAGAGTTTCAAAACTGCTCCTTCAAAACGGTGGTTCAATTCTCTTAGTTGAGTACACACATCTCAAATAAGTTTCTGAGAATGCTTCTGTCTAGTTGTTATGGGAAGATATTTCCTTTTCCAACATAGGCCTGAAAGCGCTCCAAATGTCCACTTCCAGATACTACAAAAGGAGTGATTCAAACCTGCTCTATGATAGGGAATGTTCAACTCTGTGTCCTGAATACAAACATCACAAAGATGTTTCTCAGAACGCTGCAGTCTGCAATTTGTATGAATTCCCGCTTCCAACGAAATCCTCAAAACTAGCCAAATATCCACTTGCAGATTCCACAAAAAGAGCGTTTCAAAACTTCTCTATGAAAAGAAAGGTTCTACTCCTTTAGTTGAGGACACACATCACGAGTAAGTTTCTGAGAATGCTTCTGTCTAGTTTTTATGGGAAGATATTTCCTTTTTCACCTTAGGCCGGTAAGTGCTCCAAATGTCCACTTACACACACTACAAAAAGAGTGTTTCAAACCTGCTCTGTGAAAGGGAATGTTCAATTCTGTGACTTGAATGCAATCATCACAAAGAACTTTCTGAGAATGCTGCTGACTGCTTTTTATATGTAATCCCGTTTCCAACGAAATCCTCAAATCTAGCCAAATAGCCACTTGCAGATTCCACAAAAAGAGTGTTTCAAAACTGTTCTGTCTAAAGAAATGTTCAACTGTGTTAGTTGAGGACACACATCAGAAACTAGTTTCTGAGAATGCTTCTGTCTAGTTGTTATGGGAAGATATTTCCTTTTCCAACGTAGGCCTGAAAGCGATCCAAATGTCCACTTCCATATACTAAAAAAAGAGTGTTTCAAACCTGCTCTACCAAAGGGAATGTTCTACTCTGTGACTTGAATGCAAACATCCCAAAGAAGTTTCTGAGAATGCTTCTGTCTAGATTTTCTCTGAAGACAATCCCGTTTCCAACGAAATCCTCAAGGCTAGGCAAATATACTCTTGCAGATTCCAGAAAAAGAGTGTTTCAAAACTGCTCCTTCAAAACGGTGGTTCAATTCTCTTAGTTGAGTACACACATCTCAAATAAGTTTCTGAGAATGCTTCTGCCTAGTTGTTACGGGAAGATATTTCCCTTTCCAACATAGGCCTGAAAGCGCTCCAAATGTCCACTTCCAGATACTACAAAAAGAGTGTTTCAAACCTGCTCTACCAAAGGGAATGTTCTGCTCTGTGACTTGAATGCAAACATCCCAAAGAAGTTTCTGAGAATGCTTCTGTCTAGATTTTACCTGAAGACAATCCCGTTTCCCACGAAATCCTCAAAGCTATGCAAATATCCTCTTGCAGATTCTACAAATAGAGTGTTTCCAAACTGCTCTATGGAAAAGAAAGGTTCAACTCTGTCAGTAGAGGGCACACATCACAAACAAGTTTCTGAGAATGCTTGTGTCTAGTTGTTATGGGAAGATATTTCCTTTTTCAACATAGGCCTGAAAGCGCTCCAAATGTCCACTTCCAGATACTACAAAAGGAGTGATTCCAACCTGCTCTATGATAGGGAATGTTCAACTCTCTGTCCTGAATACAAACATCACAAAGATGTTTCTCAGAACGCTGCAGTCTGCAATTTGTATGAATTCCCGCTTCCAACGAAATCCTCAAAACTAGCCAAATATCCACTTGCAGATTCCACGAAAAGAGCATTTCAAAACTGCTCTATCAAAAGAAAGGTTCAAATTTGTTAGTTGAGTAGATACAGCATAAACAAGTTTCTGAGAATGCTTCTGTCCAGTTTTTATGGGAAGATATTTCCTTTTTCACCTTAGCCCTGAAAGCGCTCCAAAAGTCCAGTTCCAGATACTACAAAAGGAGTGTTTCAGGACTGCTCTATGAAAGGGAGTGTTCAACTTTTGACTTGAATGCAAACATCAGAAAGCAGTTTCTCAGAACGCTGCTGTGTGCTTTTTATATGTATTCCCGCCTCCAGCGAAATCCCCAAAGCTAGCCAAATATCCACTTGCAGATTCCAGAAAAAGAGTGTTTCAAAACTGCTCCTTCAAAACGGTGGTTCAATTCTCTTAGTTGAGTACACACATCTCAAATAAGTTTCTGAGAATGCTTCTGTCTAGTTGTTATGGGAAGATATTTCCTTTTCCAACATAGGCCTGAAAGCGCTCCAAATGTCCACTTCCAGATACTACAAAAGGAGTGATTCAAACCTGCTCTATGATAGGGAATGTTCAACTCTGTGTCCTGAATACAAACATCACAAAGATGTTTCTCAGAACGCTGCAGTCTGCAATTTGTATGAATTCCCGCTTCCAACGAAATCCTCAAAACTAGCCAAATATCCACTTGCAGATTCCACAAAAAGACCATTTCAAAACTGCTCTATCAAAAGAAAGGTTCAACTTTGTTAGTTGAGTAGATACAGCATAAACAAGTTTCTGAGAATGCTTCTGTCCAGTTTTTATGGGAAGATATTTCCTTTTTCACCTTAGCCCTGAAATCGCTCCAAAAGTCCAGTTCCAGATACTACAAAAGGGGTGTTTCAGGACTGCCCTATGAAAGGGAGTGTTCAACTTTTGACTTGAATGCAAACATCAGAAAGCAGTTTCTCAGAACGCTGCTGTGTGCTTTTTATATGTATTCCCGCTTCCAGCGAAATCCCCAAAGCTAGCCAAATATCCACTTGCAGATTCCAGAAAAAGAGTGTTTCCAAACTGCTCCTTCAAAACGGTGGTTCAATTCTCTTAGTAGAGTACACACATCTCAAATAAGTTTCTGGGAATGCTTCTGTCTAGTTGTTATGGGAAGATATTTCCTTTTCCAACATAGGCCTGAAAGCGCTCCAAATGTCCACTTCCAGATACTACAAAAGGAGTGATTCAAACCTGCTCTATGATAGGGAATGTTCAACTCTGTGTCCTGAATACAAACATCACAAAGATGTTTCTCAGAACGCTGCAGTCTGCAATTTGTATGAATTCCCGCTTCCAACGAAATCCTCAAAACTAGCCAAATATCCACTTGCAGATTCCACAAAAAGAGCGTTTCAAAACTTCTCTATGAAAAGAAAGGTTCTACTCCTTTAGTTGAGGACACACATCACGAGTAAGTTTCTGAGAATGCTTCTGTCTAGTTTTTATGGGAAGATATTTCCTTTTTCACCTTAGGCCGGTAAGTGCTCCAAATGTCCACTTACACACACTACAAAAAGAGTCTTTCAAACCTGCTCTGTGAAAGGGAATGTTCAATTCTGTGACTTGAATGCAATCATCACAAAGAACTTTCTGAGAATGCTGCTGACTGCTTTTTATACGTAATCCCGTTTCCAACGAAATCCTCAAATCTGGCCAAATATGCACTTGCAGATTCCACAAAAAGACTGTTTCAAAACTGTTCTGTCTAAAGAAATGTACAACTGTGTTAGTTGAGGACACACATCAGAATCTAGTTTCTGAGAATGCTTCTGTCTAGTTGTTATGGGAAGATATTTCCTTTTCCAACGTAGGCCTGAAAGCGCTCCAAATGTCCACTTCCATATACTAAAAAAAGAGTGTTTCAAACCTGCTCTACCAAAGGGAATGTTCTACTCTGTGACTTGAATGCAAACATCCCAAAGAAGTTTCTGAGAATGCTTCTGTCTAGATTTTCTCTGAAGACAATCCCGTTTCCAACGAAATCCTCAAGGCTAGGCAAATATACTCCTGCAGATTCCAGAAAAAGAGGGTTTCAAAACTGCTCCTTCAAAACGGTGGTTCAATTCTCTTAGTTGAGTACACACATCTCAAATAAGTTTCTGAGAATGCTTCTGCCTAGTTGTTACGGGAAGATATTTCCCTTTCCAACATGGTCCTGAAAGCGCTCCAAATGTCCACTTCCAGATACTACAAAAAGAGTGTTTCAAACCTGCTCTACCAAAGGGAATGTTCTACTCTGTGACTTGAATGCAAACATCCCAAAGAAGTTTCTGAGAATGCTTCTGTCTAGATTTTACCTGAAGACAATCCCGTTTCCCACGAAATCCTCAAAGCTATGCAAATATCCTCTTTCAGATTCTACAAAAAGAGTGTTTCGAAAGTGCTCTATGAAAAGAAAGGTTCAACTGTGTCAGTAGAGGGCACACATCACAAACAAGTTTCTGAGAATGCTTCTGTCTAGTTGTTATGGGAAGATATTTCCTTTTTCAACATAGGCCTGAAAGCGCTCCAAATGTCCACTTCCAGATACTACAAAAGGAGTGATTCCAACCTGCTCTATGATAGGGAATGTTCAACTCTGTGTCCTGAATACAAACATCACAAAGATGTTTCTCAGAACGCTGCAGTCTGCAATTTGTATGAATTCCCGCTTCCAACGAAATCCTCAAAACTAGCCAAATATCCACTAGCAGATTCCACAAAAAGAGCGTTTCAAAACTTCTCTATGAAAAGAAAGGTTCTACTCCTTTAGTTGAGGACACACATCACGAGTAAGTTTCTGAGAATGCTTCTGTCTAGTTTTTATGGGAAGATATTTCCTTGTTCACCTTAGGCCGGAAAGCGCTCCAAATGTCCACTTACACACACTACAAAAAGAGTGTTTCAAACCTGCTCTGTGAAAGGGAATGTTCAATTCTGTGACTTGAATGCAATCATCACAAAGAAGTTTCTGAGAATGCTGCTGTCAGCTTTTTATATGTAATCCCGTTTCCAAAGAAATCCTCAAATCTAGCCAAATAGCCACTTGGAGATTCCACAAAAAGAGTGTTTCAAAACTGTTCTGTCTAAAGAAATGTTCAACTGTGTTAGTTGAGGACACACATCAGAAACTAGTTTCTGAGAATGCTTCTGTCTAGTTGTTATGGGAAGATATTTCCTTTTCCAACGTAGGCCTGAAAGCGCTCCAAATGTCCACTTCCATATACTAAAAAAAGAGTGTTTCAAACCTGCTCTAACAAAGGGAATGTTCTACTCTGTGAATTGAATGAAAACACCCAACGAAGTTTCTGAGAATGCTTCTGTCTAGATTTTCTCTGAAGACAATCCCGTTTCCAACGAAATCCTCAAGGCTAGGCAAATATACTCTTGCAGATTCCAGAAAAAGAGTGTTTCAAAACTGCTCCTTCAAAACGGTGGTTCAATTCTCTTAGTTGAGTACACACATCTCAAATAAGTTTCTGAGAATGCTTCTGCATAGTTGTTACGGGAAGATATTTCCCTTTCCAAAATAGGCCTGAAAGCGCTCCAAATGTCCACTTCCAGATACTACAAAAGGAGTGATTCCAACCTGCTCTATGATAGGGAATGTTCAACTCTGTGTCCTGAATACAAACATCACAAAGATGTTTCTCAGAACGCTGCAGTCTGCAATTTGTATGAATTCCAGCTTCCAACGAAATCCTCAAAACTAGCCAAATATCCACTTGCAGATTCCACAAAAAGAGCATTTCAAAACTGCTCTATCAAAAGAAAGGTTCAACTTTGTTAGTAGAGTAGATACAGCATAAACAAGTTTCTGAGAATGCTTCTGTCCAGTTTTTATGGGAAGATATTTCCTTTTTCACCTTAGCCCTGAAAGCGCCCCAAATGTCCAGTTCCAGATACTACAAAAGGGGTGTTTCAAGACTGCTCTATGAAAGGGAGTGTTCAACTTTTGATTTGAATGCAAACATCAGAAAGCAGTTTCTCAGAACGCTGCTGTGTGTTTTTTATATGTATTCCCGCTTCCAGCGAAATCCCCAAAGCTAGCCAAATATCCACTTGCAGATTCCAGAAAAAGAGCGTTTCAAAACTGCTCCTTCAAAACGGTGGTTCAATTCTCTTAGTTGAGTACACCCATCTCAAATAAGTTTCTGAGAATGCTTCTGTCTAGTTGTTATGGGAAGATATTTCCTTTTCCAACATAGGCCTGAAAGCGCTCCAAATGTCCACTTCCAGATACTACAAAAGGAGTGATTCAAACCTGCTCTATGATAGGGA
This sequence comes from Homo sapiens, assembly GCF_000001405.40. Classification (NCBI taxonomy): domain Eukaryota; kingdom Metazoa; phylum Chordata; class Mammalia; order Primates; family Hominidae; genus Homo; species Homo sapiens. The sequence goes on along the minus strand of NC_000018.10, from coordinate 19,107,832 downwards.
ATGTTCAACTCTGTGTCCTGAATACAAACATCACAAAGATGTTTCTCAGAACGCTGCAGTCTGCAATTTGTATGAATTCCCGCTTCCAACGAAATCCTCAAAACTAGCCAAATATCCACTTGCAGATTCCACAAAAAGAGCGTTTCAAAACTTCTCTATGAAAAGAAAGGTTCTACTACTTTAGTTGAGGACACACATCACGAGTAAGTTTCTGAGAATGCTTCTGTCTAGTTTTTATGGGAAGATATTTCCTTTTTCACCTTAGGCCGGTAAGTGCTCCAAATGTCCACTTACACACACTACAAAAAGAGTGTTTCAAACCTGCTCTGTGAAAGGGAATGTTCAATTCTGTGACTTGAATGCAATCATCACAAAGAACTTTCTGAGAATGCTGCTGTCTGCTTTTTATATGTAATCCCGTTTCCAACGAAATCCTCAAATCTAGCCAAATAGCCACTTGCAGATTCCACAAAAAGAGTGTTTCAAAACTGTTCTGTCTAAAGAAAAGTTCAACTGTGTTAGTTGAGGACACACATCAGAAACTAGTTTCTGAGAATGCTTCTGTCTAGTTGTTATGGGAAGATATTTCCTTTTCCAACGTAGGCCTGAAAGTGCTCCAAATGTCCACTTCCATATACTAAAAAAAGAGTGTTTCAAACCTGCTCTACCAAAGGGAATGTTCTACTCTGTGACTTGAATGCAAACATCCCAAAGAAGTTTCTGAGAATGCTTCTGTCTAGATTTGATCTGAAGACAATCCCGTTTCCCACGAAATCCTCAAAGCTATGCAAATATCCTCTTGCAGATTCTACAAAAAGAGTGTTTCAAAACTGCTCTATGAAAAGAAAGGTTCAACTCTGTCAGTAGAGGGCACACATCACAAACAAGTTTCTGAGAATGCTTCTGCCTAGTTGTTACGGGAAGATATTTCCCTTTCCAACATAGGCCTGAAAGCGCTCCAAATGTCCACTTCCAGATACTACAAAAAGAGTGTTTCAAACCTGCTCTACCAAAGGTAATGTTCTGCTCTGTGACTTGAATGCAAACATCCCAAAGAAGTTTCTGAGAATGCTTCTGTCTAGATTTTACCTGAAGACAATCCCGTTTCCCACGAAATCCTCAAAGCTATGCAAATATCCTCTTGCAGATTCTACAAAAAGAGTGTTTCAAAACTGCTCTATGAAAAGAAAGGTTCAACTCTGTCAGTAGAGGGCACACATCACAAACAAGTTTCTGAGAATGCTTCTGCATAGTTGTTACGGGAAGATATTTCCCTTTCCAAAATAGGCCTGAAAGCGCTCCAAATGTCCACTTCCAGATACTACAAAAGGAGTGATTCCAACCTGCTCTATGATAGGGAATGTTCAACTCTGTGTCCTGAATACAAACATCACAAAGATGTTTCTCAGAACGCTGCAGTCTGCAATTTGTATGAATTCCCGCTTCCAACGAAATCCTCAAAACTAGCCAAATATCCACTTGCAGATTCCACAAAAAGACCATTTCAAAACTGCTCTATCAAAAGAAAGGTTCAACTTTGTTAGTTGAGTAGATACAGCATAACCAAGTTTCTGAGAATGCTTCTGTCCGTTTTTATGGGAAGATATTTCCTTTTTCACCTTAGCCCTGAAATCGCTCCAAAAGTCCAGTTCCAGATACTACAAAAGGGGTGTTTCAAGACTGCTCTATGAAAGGGAGTGTTCAACTTTTGACTTGAATGCAAACATCAGAAAGCAGTTTCTCAGAACGCTGCTGTGTGCTTTTTATATGTATTCCCGCTTCCAGCGAAATCCCCAAAGCTAGCCAAATATCCACTTGCAGATTCCAGAAAAAGAGTGTTTCAAAACTGCTCCTTCAAAACGGTGGTTCAATTCTCTTAGTTGAGTACACACATCTCAAATAAGTTTCTGAGAATGCTTCTGTCTAGTTGTTATGGGAAGATATTTCCTTTTCCAACATAGGCCTGAAAGCGCTCCAAATGTCCACTTCCAGATACTACAAAAGGAGTGATTCAAACCTGCTCTATGATAGGGAATGTTCAACTCTGTGTCCTGAATACAAACATCACAAAGATGTTTCTCAGAACGCTGCAGTCTGCAATTTGTATGAATTCCCGCTTCCAACGAAATCCTCCAAACTAGCCAAATATCCACTTGCAGATTCCACAAAAAGAGCGTTTCAAAACTTCTCTATGAAAAGAAAGGTTCTACTCCTTTAGTTGAGGACACACATCACGAGTAAGTTTCTGAGAATGCTTCTGTCTAGTTTTTATGGGAAGATATTTCCTTTTTCACCTTAGGCCGGAAAGTGCTCCAAATGTCCACTTACACACCCTACAAAAAGAGTGTTTCAAACCTGCTCTGTGAAAGGGAATGTTCAATTCTGTGACTTGAATGCAATCATCACAAAGAACTTTCTGAGAATGCTGCTGACTGCTTTTTATATGTAATCCCGTTTCCAACGAAATCCTCAAATCTAGCCAAATAGCCACTTGCAGATTCCACAAAAAGAGTGTTTCAAAACTGTTCTGTCTAAAGAAATGTTCAACTGTGTTAGTTGAGGACACACATCAGAAACTAGTTTCTGAGAATGCTTCTATCTAGTTGTTATGGGAAGATATTTCCTTTTCCAACGTAGGCCTGAAAGCGCTCCAAATGTCCACTTCCATATACTAAAAAAAGAGTGTTTCAAACCGGCTCTACCAAAGGGAATGTTCTACTCTGTGACTTGAATGCAAACATCCCAAAGAAGTTTCTGAGAATGCTTCTGTCTAGATTTTATCTGAAGACAATCCCGTTTCCAACGAAATCCTCAAGGCTAGGCAAATATACTCTTGCAGATTACAGAAAAAGAGTGTTTCAAAACTGCTCCTTCAAAACGGTGGTTCAATTCTCTTAGTTGAGTACACACATCTCAAATAAGTTTCTGAGAATGCTTCTGCCTAGTTGTTACGGGAAGATATTTCCCTTTCCAACATGGGCCTGAAAGCGCTCCAAATGTCCACTTCCAGATACTACAAAAGGAGGGTTTCAAACCTGCTCTACCAAAGGGAATGTTCTACTCTGTGACTTGAATGCAAACATCCCAAAGAAGTTTCTGAGAATGCTTCTGTCTAGATTTTACCTGAAGACAATCCCGTTTCCCACGAAATCCTCAAAGCTATGCAAATATCCTCTTGCAGATTCTACAAAAAGAGTGTTTCAAAACTGCTCTATGAAAAGAAAGGTTCAACTCTGTCAGTAGAGGGCACACATCACAAACAAGTTTCTGAGAATGCTTGTGTCTAGTTGTTATGGGAAGATATTTCCTTTTTCAACATAGGCCAGAAAGCGCTCCAAATGTCCACTTCCAGATACTACAAAAGGAGTGATTCCAACCTGCTCTATGATAGGGAATGTTCAACTCTCTGTCCTGAATGCAAACATCACAAAGATGTTTCTCAGAACGCTGCAGTCTGCAATTTGTATGAATTCCCGCTTCCAACGAAATCCTCAAAACTAGCCAAATATCCACTTGCAGATTCCACAAAAAGAGCATTTCAAAACTGCTCTATCAAAAGAAAGGTTCAACTTTGTTAGTTGAGTAGATACAGCATAAACAAGTTTCTGAGAATGCTTCTGTCCAGTTTTTATGGGAAGATATTTCCTTTTTCACCTTAGCCCTGAAGCGCTCCAAAAGTCCAGTTCCAGATACTACAAAAGGAGTGTTTCAGGACTGCTCTATGAAAGGGAGTGTTCAACTTTTGACTTGAATGCAAACATCAGAAAGCAGTTTCTCAGAACGCTGCTGTGTGCTTTTTATATGTATTCCCGCTTCCAGCGAAATCCCCAAAGCTAGCCAAATATCCAATTGCAGATTCCAGAAAAAGAGTGTTTCAAAACTGCTCCTTCAAAACGGTGGTTCAATTCTCTTAGTTGAGTACACACATCTCAAATAAGTTTCTGAGAATGCTTCTGTCTAGTTGTTATGGGAAGATATTTCCTTTTCCAACATAGGCCTGAAAGCGCTCCAAATGTCCACTTCCAGATACTACAAAAGGAGTGATTCAAACCTGCTCTATGATAGGGAATGTTCAACTCTGTGTCCTGAATACAAACATCACAAAGATGTTTCTCAGAACGCTGCAGTCTGCAATTTGTATGAATTCCCGCTTCCAACGAAATCCTCAAAACTAGCCAAATATCCACTTGCAGATTCCACAAAAAGAGCGTTTCAAAACTTCTCTATGAAAAGAAAGGTTCTACTCCTTTAGTTGAGGACACACATCACGAGTAAGTTTCTGAGAATGCTTCTGTCTAGTTTTTATGGGAAGATATTTCCTTTTTCACCTTAGGCCGGAAAGTGCTCCAAATGTCCACTTACACACACTACAAAAAGAGTGTTTCAAACCTGCTCTGTGAAAGGGAATGTTCAATTCTGTGACTTGAATGCAATCATCACAAAGAACTTTCTGAGAATGCTGCTGTCTGCTTTTTATATGTAATCCCGTTTCCAACGAAATCCTCAAATCTAGCCAAATAGCCACTTGCAGATTCCACAAAAAGAGTGTTTCAAAACTGTTCTGTCTAAAGAAATGTTCAACTGTGTTAGTTGAGGACACACATCAGAAACTAGTTTCTGAGAATGCTTCTGTCTAGTTGTTATGGGAAGATATTTCCTTTTCCAACGTAGGCCTGAAAGCGCTCCAAATGTCCACTTCCATATACTAAAAAAAGAGTGATTCACACCTGCTCTACCAAAGGGAATGTTCTACTCTGTGACTTGAATGCAAACATCCCAAAGAAGTTTCTGAGAATGCTTCTGTCTAGATTTGATCTGAACACAATCCCGTTTCCAACGAAATCCTCAAAGCTAGGCAAATATCCTCTTGCAGATTCCAGAAAAAGAGTGTTTCAAAACTGCTCCTTCAAAACGGTGGTTCAATTCTCTTAGTTGAGTACACACATCTCAAATAAGTTTCTGAGAATGCTTCTGCCTAGTTGTTACCGGAAGATATTTCCCTTTCCAACATAGGCCTGAAAGCGCTCCAAATGTCCACTTCCAGATACTACAAAAAGAGTGTTTCAAACCTGCTCTACCAAAGGGAATGTTCTACTCTGTGACTTGAATGCAAACATCCCAAAGAAGTTTCTGAGAATGCTACTGTCTAGATTTTACCTGAAGACAATCCCGTTTCCCACGAAATCCTCAAAGCTATGCAAATATCCTCTTGCAGATTCTACAAAAAGAGTGTTTCAAAACTGCTCTATGAAAAGAAAGGTTCAACTCTGTCAGTAGAGGGCACACATCACAAACAAGTTTCTGAGAATGCTTGTGTCTAGTTGTTATGGGAAGATATTTCCTTTTTCAACATAGGCCAGAAAGCGCTCCAAATGTCCACTTCCAGATACTACAAAAGGAGTGATTCCAACCTGCTCTATGATAGGGAATGTTCAACTCTCTGTCCTGAATACAAACATCACAAAGATGTTTCTCAGAACGCTGCAGTCTGCAATTTGTATGAATTCCCGCTTCCAACGAAATCCTCAAAACTAGCCAAATATCCACTTGCAGATTCCACAAAAAGACCATTTCAAAACTGCTCTATCAAAAGAAAGGTTCAACTTTGTTAGTTGAGTAGATACAGCATAAACAAGTTTCTGAGAATGCTTCTGTCCAGTTTTTATGGGAAGATATTTCCTTTTTCACCTTAGCCCTGAAATCGCTCCAAAAGTCCAGTTCCAGATACTACAAAAGGGGTGTTTCAAGACTGCTCTATGAAAGGGAGTGTTCAACTTTTGACTTGAATGCAAACATCAGAAAGCAGTTTCTCAGAACGCTGCTGTGTGCTTTTTATATGTATTCCCGCTTCCAGCGAAATCCCCAAAGCTAGCCAAATATCCACTTGCAGATTCCAGAAAAAGAGTGTTTCAAAACTGCTCCTTCAAAACGGTGGTTCAATTCTCTTAGTTGAGTACACACATCTCAAATAAGTTTCTGAGAATGCTTGTGTCTAGTTGTTATGGGAAGATATTTCCTTTTTCAACATAGGCCTGAAAGCGCTCCAAATGTCCACTTCCAGATACTACAAAAGGAGTGATTCCAACCTGCTCTATGATAGGGAATGTTCATCTCTGTGTCCTGAATACAAACATCACAAAGATGTTTCTCAGAACGCTGCAGTCTGCAATTTGTATGAATTCCCGCTTCCAACGAAATCCTCAAAACTAGCCAAATATCCACTTGCAGATTCCACAAAAAGAGCGTTTCAAAACTTCTCTATGAAAACAAAGGTTCTACTCCTTTAGTTGAGGACACACATCACGAGTAAGTTTCTGAGAATGCTTCTGTCTAGTTTTTATGGGAAGATATTTCCTTTTTCACCTTAGGCCGGAAAGTGCTCCAAATGTCCACTTACACACACTACAAAAAGAGTGTTTCAAACCTGCTCTGTGAAAGGGAATGTTCAATTCTGTGACTTGAATGCAATCATCACAAAGAACTTTCTGAAAATGCTGCTGTCTGCTTTTTATATGTAATCCCGTTTCCAACGAAATCCTCAAATCTAGCCAAATAGCCACTTGCAGATTCCACAAAAAGAGAGTTTCAAAACTGTTCTGTCTAAAGAAATGTTCAACTGTGTTAGTTGAGGACACACATCAGAAACTAGTTTCTGAGAATGCTTCTGTCTAGTTGTTATGGGAAGATATTTCCTTTTCCAACGTAGGCCTGAAAGCGCTCCAAATGTCCACTTCCATATACTAAAAAAAGAGTGTTTCAAACCTACTCTACCAAAGGGAATGTTCTACTCTGTGACTTGAATGCAAACATCTCAAAGAAGTTTCTGACAATGCTTCTGTCTAGATTTTGTCTGAAGACAATCCCGTTTCCAACGAAATCCTCAAGGCTAGGCAAATATACTCTTGCAGATTCCAGAAAAAGAGTGTTTCAAAACTGCTCCTTCAAAACGGTGGTTCAGTTCTCTTACTTGAGTACACACATCTCAAATAAGTTTCTGAGAATGCTTCTGCCTAGTTGTTACGGGAAGATATTTCCCTTTCCAACATGGGCCTGATAGTGCTCCAAATGTCCACTTCCAGATACTACAAAAAGAGTGTTTCAAACCTGCTCTACCAAAGGGAATGTTCTACTCTGTGACTTGAATGCAAACATCCCAAAAAAGTTTCTGAGAATGCTTCTGTCTAGATTTTACCTGAAGACAATCCCGTTTTCCACGAAATCCTCAAAGCTATGCAAATATCCTCTTGCGGATTCTACAAAAAGAGTGTTTCAAAACTGCTCTATGAAAAGAAAGGTTCAACTCTGTCAGTAGAGGGCACACATCACAAACAAGTTTCTGAGAATGCTTCTGCATAGTTGTTACGGGAAGATATTTCCCTTTCCAAAATAGGCCTGAAAGCGCTCCAAATGTCCACTTCCAGATACTACAAAAGGAGTGATTCCAACCTGCTCTATGATAGGGAATGTTCAACTCTGTGTCCTGAATACAAACATCACAAAGATGTTTCTCAGAACGCTGCAGTCTGCAATTTGTATGAATTCCCGCTTCCAACGAAATCCTCAAAACTAGCCAAATATCCACTTGCAGATTCCACAAAAAGACCATTTCAAAACTGCTCTATCAAAAGAAAGGTTCAACTTTGTTAGTTGAGTAGATACAGCATAAACAAGTTTCTGAGAATGCTTCTGTCCAGTTTTTATGGGAAGATATTTCCTTTTTCACCTTAGCCCTGAAATCGCTCCAAAAGTCCAGTTCCAGATACTACAAAAGGGGTGTTTCAAGACTGCTCTATGAAAGGGAGTGTTCAACTTTTGACTTGAATGCAAACATCAGAAAGCAGTTTCTCAGAACGCTGCTGTGTGCTTTTTATATGTATTCCCGCTTCCAGCGAAATCCCCAAAGCTAGCCAAATATCCACTTGCAGATTCCAGAAAAAGAGTGTTTCAAAACTGCTCCTTCAAAACGGTGGTTCAATTCTCTTAGTTGAGTACACACATCTCAAATAAGTTTCTGAGAATGCTTCTGTCTAGTTGTTATGGGAAGATATTTCCTTTTCCAACATAGGCCTGAAAGCGCTCCAAATGTCCACTTCCAGATACTACAAAAGGAGTGATTCAAACCTGCTCTATGATAGGGAATGTTCAACTCTGTGTCCTGAATACAAACATCACAAAGATGTTTCTCAGAACGCTGCAGTCTGCAATTTGTATGAATTCCCGCTTCCAACGAAATCCTCAAAACTAGCCAAATATCCACTTGCAGATTCCACAAAAAGAGCGTTTCAAAACTTCTCTATGAAAAGAAAGGTTCTACTCCTTTAGTTGAGGACACACATCACGAGTAAGTTTCTGAGAATGCTTCTGTCTAGTTTTTATGGGAAGATATTTCCTTTTTCACCTTAGGCCGGTAAGTGCTCCAAATGTCCACTTACACACACTACAAAAAGAGTGTTTCAAACCTGCTCTGTGAAAGGGAATGTTCAATTCTGTGACTTGAATGCAATCATCACAAAGAACTTTCTGAGAATGCTGCTGACTGCTTTTTATATGTAATCCCGTTTCCAACGAAATCCTCAAATCTAGCCAAATAGCCACTTGCAGATTCCACAAAAAGAGTGTTTCAAAACTGTTCTGTCTAAAGAAATGTTCAACTGTGTTAGTTGAGGACACACATCAGAAACTAGTTTCTGAGAATGCTTCTGTCTAGTTGTTATGGGAAGATATTTCCTTTTCCAACGTAGGCCTGAAAGCGATCCAAATGTCCACTTCCATATACTAAAAAAAGAGTGTTTCAAACCTGCTCTACCAAAGGGAATGTTCTACTCTGTGACTTGAATGCAAACATCCCAAAGAAGTTTCTGAGAATGCTTCTGTCTAGATTTGATCTGAAGACAATCCCGTTTCCAACGAAATCCTCCAAGCTAGGCAAATATCCTCTTGCAGATTCCAGAAAAAGAGTGTTTCAAAACTGCTCCTTCAAAACGGTGGTTCAATTCTCTTAGTTGAGTACACACATCTCAAATAAGTTTCTGAGAATGCTTCTGCCTAGTTGTTACGGGAAGATATTTCCCTTTCCAACATAGGCTTGAAAGCGCTCCAAATGTCCACTTCCAGATACTATAAAAAGAGTGTTTCAAACCTGCTCTACCAAAGGGAATGTTCTACTCTGTGACTTGAATGCAAACATCCCAAAGAAGTTTCTGAGAATGCTTCTGTCTAGATTTTACCTGAAGACAATCCCGTTTCCCACGAAATCCTCAAAGCTATGCAAATATCCTCTTGCAGATTCTACAAAAAGAGTGTTTCAAAACTGCTCTATGAAAAGAAAGGTTCAACTCTGTCAGTAGAGGGCACACATCACAAACAAGTTTCTGAGAATGCTTGTGTCTAGTTGTTATGGGAAGATATTTCCTTTTTCAACATAGGCCTGAAAGTGCTCCAAATCTCCACTTCCAGATACTACAAAAGGAGTGATTCCAACCTGCTCTATGATAGGGAATGTTCAACTCTCTGTCCTGAATACAAACATCACAAAGATGTTTCTCAGAACGCTGCAGTCTGCAATTTGTATGAATTCCCGCTTCCAACGAAATCCTCAAAACTAGCCAAATATCCACTTGCAGATTCCACAAAAAGAGCATTTCAAAACTGCTCTATCAAAAGAAAGGTTCAACTTTGTTAGTTGAGTAGATACAGCATAAACAAGTTTCTGAGAATGCTTCTGTCCAGTTTTTATGGGAAGATATTTCCTTTTTCACCTTAGCCCTGAAAGCGCTCCAAAAGTCCAGTTCCAGATACTACAAAAGGGGTGTTTCAAGACTGCTCTATGAAAGGGAGTGTTCAACTTTTGACTTGAATGCAAACATCAGAAAGCAGTTTCTCAGAACGCTGCAGTCTGCAATTTGTATGAATTCCCGCTTCCAACGAAATCCTCAAAACTAGCCAAATATCCACTTGCAGATTCCACAAAAAGAGCGTTTCAAAACTTCTCTATGAAAAGAAAGGTTCTACTCCTTTAGTTGAGGACACACAATACGAGTAAGTTTCTGAGAATGCTTCTGTCCAGTTTTTATGGGAAGATATTTCCTTTTTCACCTTAGCCCTGAAAGCGCTCCAAAAGTCCAGTTCCAGATACTACAAAAGGAGTGTTTCAGGACTGCTCTATGAAAGGGAGTGTTCAACTTTTGACTTGAATGCAAACATCAGAAAGCAGTTTCTCAGAACGCTGCTGTGTGCTTTTTATATGTATTCCCGCTTCCAGCGAAATCCCCAAAGCTAGCCAAATATCCACTTGCAGATTCCAGAAAAAGAGTGTTTCAAAACTGCTCCTTCAAAACGGTGGTTCAATTCTCTTAGTTGAGTACACACATCTCAAATAAGTTTCTGAGAATGCTTCTGTCTAGTTGTTATGGGAAGATATTTCCTTTTCCAACATAGGCCTGAAAGCGCTCCAAATGTCCACTTCCAGATACTACAAAAGGAGTGATTCAAACCTGCTCTATGATAGGGAATGTTCAACTCTGTGTCCTGAATACAAACATCACAAAGATGTTTCTCAGAACGCTGCAGTCTGCAATTTGTATGAATTCCCGCTTCCAACGAAATCCTCAAAACTAGCCAAATATCCACTTGCAGATTCCACAAAAAGACCATTTCAAAACTGCTCTATCAAAAGAAAGGTTCAACTTTGTTAGTTGAGTAGATACAGCATAAGCAAGTTTCTGAGAATGCTTCTGTCTAGTTTTTATGGGAAGATATTTCCTTTTTCACCTTAGGCCGGTAAGTGCTCCAAATGTCCACTTACACACACTACAAAAAGAGTGTTTCAAACCTGCTCTGTGAAAGGGAATGTTCAATTCTGTGACTTGAATGCAATCATCACAAAGAACTTTCTGAGAATGCTGCTGACTGCTTTTTATATGTAATCCCGTTTCCAACGAAATCCTCAAATCTAGCCAAATAGCCACTTGCAGATTCCACAAAAAGAGTGTTTCAAAACTGTTCTGTCTAAAGAAATGTTCAACTGTGTTAGTTGAGGACACACATCAGAAACTAGTTTCTGAGAATGCTTCTGTCTAGTTGTTATGGGAAGATATTTCCTTTTCCAACGTAGGCCTGAAAGCGATCCAAATGTCCACTTCCATATACTACAAAAAGAGTGTTTCAAACCTGCTCTGTGAAAGGGAATGTTCAATTCTGTGACTTGAATGCAATCATCACAAAGAACTTTCTGAGAATGCTGCTGACTGCTTTTTATATGTAATCCCGTTTCCAACGAAATCCTCAAATCTAGCCAAATAGCCACTTGCAGATTCCACAAAAAGAGTGTTTCAAAACTGTTCTGTCTAAAGAAATGTTCAACTGTGTTAGTTGAGGACACACATCAGAAACTAGTTTCTGAGAATGCTTCTGTCTAGTTGTTATGGGAAGATATTTCCTTTTCCAACGTAGGCCTGAAAGCGATCCAAATGTCCACTTCCATATACTAAAAAAAGAGTGTTTCAAACCTGCTCTACCAAAGGGAATGTTCTACTCTGTGACTTGAATGCAAACATCCCAAAGAAGTTTCTGAGAATGCTTCTGTCTAGATTTTCTCTGAAGACAATCCCGTTTCCAACGAAATCCTCAAGGCTAGGCAAATATACTCTTGCAGATTCCAGAAAAAGAGTGTTTCAAAACTGCTCCTTCAAAACGGTGGTTCAATTCTCTTAGTTGAGTACACACATCTCAAATAAGTTTCTGAGAATGCTTCTGCCTAGTTGTTACGGGAAGATATTTCCCTTTCCAACATGGGCCTGAAAGCGCTCCAAATGTCCACTTCCAGATACTACAAAAAGAGTGTTTCAAACCTGCTCTACCAAAGGGAATGTTCTACTCTGTGACTTGAATGCAAACATCCCCAAAGAAGTTTCTGAGAATGCTTCTGTCTAGATTTTACCTGAAGACAATCCCGTTTCCCACGAAATCCTCAAAGCTATGCAAATATCCTCTTGCAGATTCTACAAAAAGAGTGTTTCAAAACTGCTCTATGAAAAGAAAGGTTCAACTCTGTCAGTAGAGGGCACACATCACAAACAAGTTTCTGAGAATGCTTGTGTCTAGTTGTTATGGGAAGATATCTCCTTTTTCAACATAGGCCTGAAAGCGCTCCAAATGTCCACTTCCAGATACTACAAAAGGAGTGATTCCAACCTGCTCTATGATAGGGAATGTTCAACTCTCTGTCCTGAATACAAACATCACAAAGATGTTTCTCAGAACGCTGCAGTCTGCAATTTGTATGAATTCCCGCTTCCAACGAAATCCTCAAAACTAGCCAAATATCCACTTGCAGATTCCACAAAAAGACCATTTCAAAACTGCTCTATCAAAAGAAAGGTTCAACTTTGTTAGTTGAGTAGATACAGCATAACCAAGTTTCTGAGAATGCTTCTGTCCAGTTTTTATGGGAAGATATTTCCTTTTTCACCTTAGCCCTGAAATCGCTCCAAAAGTCCAGTTCCAGATACTACAAAAGGGGTGTTTCAAGACTGCTCTATGAAAGGGAGTGTTCAACTTTTGACTTGAATGCAAACATCAGAAAGCAGTTTCTCAGAACGCTGCTGTCTGCTTTGTATATGTAATCCCGTTTCCAACGAAATCCTCAAATCTAGCTAAATATCCACTTGCAGATTCCAGAAAAAGAGTGTTTCAAAACTGCTCCTTCAAAACGGTGGTTCAATTCTCTTAGTTGAGTACACACATCTCAAATAAGTTTCTGAGAATGCTTCTGTCTAGTTGTTATGGGAAGATATTTCCTTTTCCAACGTAGGCCTGAAAGCGCTCCAAATGTCCACTTCCATATACTAAAAAAAGAGTGTTTCAAACCTGCTCTACCAAAGGGAATGTTCTACTCTGTGACTTGAATGCAAACATCCCAAAGAAGTTTCTGAGAATGCTTCTGTCTAGATTTGATCTGAAGACAATCCCGATTCCAACGAAATCCTCAAGGCTAGGCAAATATCCTCTTGCAGATTCCAGAAAAAGAGTGTTTCAAAACTGCTCCTTCAAAACGGTGGTTCAATTCTCTTAGTTGAGTACACACATCTCAAATAAGTTTCTGAGAATGCTTCTGCCTAGTTGTTACGGGAAGATATTTCCCTTTCCAACATAGGCCTGAAAGCGCTCCAAATGTCCACTTCCAGATACTACAAAAAGAGTGTTTCAAACCTACTCTACCAAAGGGAATGTTCTACTCTGTGACTTGAATGCAAACATCCCAAAGAAGTTTCTGAGAATGCTTCTGTCTAGATTTTACCTGAAGACTATCCCGTTTCCCACGTAATCCTCAAAGCTATGCAAATATCCTCTTGCAGATTCTACAAAAAGAGTGTTTCAAAACTGCTCTATGAAAAGAAAGGTTCAACTCTGTCAGTAGAGGGCACACATCACAAACAAGTTTCTGAGAATGCTTCTGTCTAGTTGTTATGGGAAGATATTTCCTTTTTCAACATATGCCTGAAAGCGCTCCAAATGTCCACTTCCAGATACTACAACAGGAGTGATTCCAACCTGCTCTATGATAGGGAATGTTCAACTCTGTGTCCTGAATACAAACATCACAAAGATGTTTCTCAGAACGCTGCAGTCTGCAATTTGTATGAATTCCCGCTTCCAACGAAATCCTCAAAACTAGCCAAATATCCACTTGCAGATTCCACAAAAAGACCATTTCAAAACTGCTCTATCAAAAGAAAGGTTCAACTTTGTTAGTTGAGTAGATACAGCATAAACAAGTTTCTGAGAATGCTTCTGTCCAGTTTTTATGGGAAGATATTTCCTTTTTCACCTTAGCCCTGAAAGCGCTCCAAATGTCCAGTTCCAGATACTACAAAAGGGGTATTTCAAGACTGCTCTATGAAAAGGAGTGTTCAACTTTTGACTTGAATGCAAACATCAGAAAGCAGTTTCTCAGAACGCTGCTGTGTGCTTTTTATATGTATTCCCGCTTCCAGCGAAATCCCCAAAGCTAGCCAAATATCCACTTGCAGATTCCAGAAAAAGAGTGTTTCAAAACTGCTCCTTCAAAACGGTGGTTCAATTCTCTTAGTTGACTACACACATCTCAAATAAGTTTCTGAGAATGCTTCTGTCTAGTTGTTATGGGAAGATATTTCCTTTTCCAACATAGGCCTGAAAGCGCTCCAAATGTCCACTTCCAGATAATAGAAAAGGAGTGATTCAAACCTGCTCTATGATAGGGAATGTTCAACTCTGTGTCCTGAATACAAACATCACAAAGATGTTTCTCAGAACGCTGCAGTCTGCAATTTGTATGAATTCCCGCTTCCAACGAAATCCTCCAAACTAGCCAAATATCCACTTGCAGATTCCACAAAAAGAGCGTTTCAAAACTTCTCTATGAAAAGAAAGGTTCTACTCCTTTAGTTGAGGACACACATCACGAGTAAGTTTCTGAGAATGCTTCTGTCTAGTTTTTATGGGAAGATATTTCCGTTTTCACCTTAGGCCGGAAAGTGCTCCAAATGTCCACTTACACACACTATAAAAAGAGTGTTTCAAACCTGCTCTGTGAAAGGGAATGTTCAATTCTGTGACTTGAATGCAATCATCACAAAGAACTTTCTGAGAATGCTGCTGTCTGCTTTTTATATGTAATCCCGTTTCCAACGAAATCCTCAAATCTAGCCAAATAGCCACTTGCAGATTCCACAAAAAGAGAGTTTCAAAACTGTTCTGTCTAAAGAAATGTTCAACTGTGTTAGTTGAGGACACACATCAGAAACTAGTTTCTGAGAATGCTTCTGTCTAGTTGTTATGGGAAGATATTTCCTTTTCCAACGTAGGCCTGAAAGCGCTCCAAATGTCCACTTCCATATACTTAAAAAAGAGTGTTTCAAACCTGCTCTACCAAAGGGAATGTTCTACTCTGTGACTTGAATGCAAACATCCCAAAGAAGTTTCTGAGAATGCTTCTGTCTAGATTTGATCTGAAGACAATCCCGTTTCCAACGAAATCCTCAAGGCTAGGCAAATATCCTCTTGCAGATTCCAGAAAAAGAGTGTTTCAAAACTGCTCCTTCAAAACGGTGGTTCAATTCTCTTAGTTGAGTACACACATCTCAAATAAGTTTCTGAGAATGCTTCTGCCTAGTTGTTACGGGAAGATATTTCCCTTTCCAACATAGGCCTGAAAGCGCTCCAAATGTCCACTTCCAGATACTACAAAAAGAGTGTTTCAAACCTGCTCTACCAAAGGGAATGTTCTACTCTGTGACTTGAATGCAAACATCCCAAAGAAGTTTCTGAGAATGCTTCTGTCTAGATTTTACCTGAAGACAATCCCGTTTCCCACGAAATCCTCAAAGCTATGCAAATATCCTCTTGCAGATTCTACAAAAAGAGTGTTTCAAAACTGCTCTATGAAAAGAAAGGTTCAACTCTGTCAGTAGAGGGCACACATCACAAACAAGTTTCTGAGAATGCTTGTGTCTAGTTGTTATGGGAAGATATTTCCTTTTTCAACATAGGCCTGAAAGCGCTCCAAATGTCCACTTCCAGATACTACAAAAGGAGTGATTCCAACCTGCTCTATGATAGGGAATGTTCAACTCTCTGTCCTGAATACAAACATCACAAAGATGTTTCTCAGAACGCTGCAGTCTGCAATTTGTATGAATTCCCGCTTCCAACGAAATCCTCAAAACTAGCCAAATATCCACTTGCAGATTCCACAAAAAGAGCATTTCAAAACTGCTCTATCAAAAGAAAGGTTCAACTTTGTTAGTTGAGTAGATACAGCATAAACAAGTTTCTGAGAATGCTTCTGTCCAGTTTTTATGGGAAGATATTTCCTTTTTCACCTTAGCCCTGAAAGCGCTCCAAAAGTCCAGTTCCAGATACTACAAAAGGAGTGTTTCAGACTGCACTATGAAAGGGAGTGTTCAACTTTTGACTTGAATGCAAACATCAGAAAGCAGTTTCTCAGAACGCTGCTGTGTGCTTTTTATATGTATTCCCGCTTCCAGCGAAATCCCCAAAGCTAGCCAAATATCCACTTGCAGATTCCAGAAAAAGAGTGTTTCAAAACTGCTCCTTCAAAACGGTGGTTCAATTCTCTTAGTTGAGTACACACATCTCAAATAAGTTTCTGAGAATGCTTCTGTCTAGTTGTTATGGGAAGATATTTCCTTTTCCAACATAGGCCTGAAAGCGCTCCAAATGTCCACTTCCAGATACTACAAAAGGAGTGATTCAAACCTGCTCTATGATAGGGAATGTTCAACTCTGTGTCCTGAATACAAACATCACAAAGATGTTTCTCAGAACGCTGCAGTCTGCAATTTGTATGAATTCCCGCTTCCAACGAAATCCTCAAAACTAGCCAAATATCCACTTGCAGATTCCACAAAAAGAGCGTTTCAAAACTTCTCTATGAAAAGAAAGGTTCTACTCCTTTAGTTGAGGACACACATCACGAGTAAGTTTCTGAGAATGCTTCTGTCTAGTTTTTATGGGAAGATATTTCCTTTTTCACCTTAGGCCGGTAAGTGCTCCAAATGTCCACTTACACACACTACAAAAAGAGTGTTTCAAACCTGCTCTGTGAAAGGGAATGTTCAATTCTG
This sequence comes from Homo sapiens, assembly GCF_000001405.40. Classification (NCBI taxonomy): domain Eukaryota; kingdom Metazoa; phylum Chordata; class Mammalia; order Primates; family Hominidae; genus Homo; species Homo sapiens. Next base: position 19,091,204 of record NC_000018.10, on the reverse strand, counting down.
TGACTTGAATGCAATCATCACAAAGAACTTTCTGAGAATGCTGCTGACTGCTTTTTATATGTAATCCCGTTTCCAACGAAATCCTCAAATCTAGCCAAATAGCCACTTGCAGATTCCACAAAAAGAGTGTTTCAAAACTGTTCTGTCTAAAGAAATGTTCAACTGTGTTAGTTGAGGACACACATCAGAAACTAGTTTCTGAGAATGCTTCTGTCTAGTTGTTATGGGAAGATATTTCGTTTTCCAACGTAGGCCTGAAAGCGCTCCAAATGTCCACTTCCATATACTAAAAAAAGAGTGTTTCACACCTGCTCTACCAAAGGGAATGTTCTACTCTGTGACTTGAATGCAAACATCCCAAAGAAGTTTCTGAGAATGCTTCTGTCTAGATTTTATCTGAAGACAATCCCGTTTCCAACGAAATCCTCAAGGCTAGGCAAATATCGTCTAGCAGATTCCAGAAAAAGAGTGTTTCAAAACTGCTCCTTCAAAACGGTGGTTCAATTCTCTTAGTTGAGTACACACATCTCAAATAAGTTTCTGAGAATGCTTCTGCCTAGTTGTTACGGGAAGATATTTCCCTTTCCAACATGGGCCTGAAAGCGCTCCAAATGTCCACTTCCAGATACTACAAAAAGAGTGTTTCAAACCTGCTCTACCAAAGGGAATGTTCTACTCTGTGACTTGAATGCAAACATCCCAAAGAAGTTTCTGAGAATGCTTCTGTCTAGATTTTACCTGAAGACAATCCCGTTTCCCACGAAATCCTCAAAGCTATGCAAATATCCTCTTGCGGATTCTACAAAAAGAGTGTTTCAAAACTGCTCTATGAAAAGAAAGGTTCAACTCTGTCAGTAGAGGGCACACATCACAAACAAGTTTCTGAGAATGCTTGTGTCTAGTTGTTATGGGAAGATATTTCCTTTTTCAACATAGGCCTGAAAGCGCTCCAAATGTCCACTTCCAGATACTACAAAAGGAGTGATTCCAACCTGCTCTATGATAGGGAATGTTCAACTCTCTGTCCTGAATACAAACATCACAAAGATGTTTCTCAGAACGCTGCAGTCTGCAATTTGTATGAATTCCCGCTTCCAACGAAATCCTCAAAACTAGCCAAATATCCACTTGCAGATTCCACAAAAAGAGCATTTCAAAACTGCTCTATCAAAAGAAAGGTTCAACTTTGTTAGTTGAGTAGATACAGCATAAACAAGTTTCTGAGAATGCTTCTGTCCAGTTTTTATGGGAAGATATTTCCTTTTTCACCTTAGCCCTGAAAGCGCTCCAAATTTCCAGTTCCAGATACTACAAAAGGGGTGTTTCAAGACTGCTCTATGAAAGGGAGTGTTCAACTTTTGACTTGAATGCAAACATCAGAAAGCAGTTTCTCAGAACGCTGCTGTGTGCTTTTTATATGTATTCCCGCTTCCAGCGAAATCCCCAAAGCTAGCCAAATATCCACTTGCAGATTCCAGAAAAAGAGTGTTTCCAAACTGCTCCTTCAAAACGGTGGTTCAATTCTCTTAGTTAAGTACACACATCTCAAATAAGTTTCTGGGAATGCTTCTGTCTAGTTGTTATGGGAAGATATTTCCTTTTCCAACATAGGCCTGAAAGCGCTCCAAATGTCCACTTCCAGATACTACAAAAGGAGTGATTCAAACCTGCTCTATGATAGGGAATGTTCAACTCTGTGTCCTGAATACAAACATCACAAAGATGTTTCTCAGAACGCTGCAGTCTGCATCTTGTATGAATTCCCGCTTCCAACGAAATCCTCCAAACTAGCCAAATATCCACTTGCAGATTCCACAAAAAGAGCGTTTCAAAACTTCTCTATGAAAAGAAAGGTTCTACTCCTTTAGTTGAGGACACACATCACGAGTAAGTTTCTGAGAATGCTTCTGTCTAGTTTTTATGGGAAGATATTTCCTTGTTCACCTTAGGCCGGAAAGCGCTCCAAATGTCCACTTACACACACTACAAAAAGAGTGTTTCAAACCTGCTCTGTGAAAGGGAATGTACAATTCTGTGACTTGAATGCAATCATCACAAAGAAGTTTCTGAGAATGCTGCTGTCTGCTTTTTATATGTAATCCCGTTTCCAACGAAATCCTCAAATCTAGCCAAATATCCACTTGCAGATTCCACAAAAAGAGTGTTTCAAAACTGTTCTGTCTAAAGAAATGTTCAACTGTGTTAGTTGAGGACACACATCAGAAACTAGTTTCTGAGAATGCTTCTGTCTAGTTGTTATGGGAAGATATTTCCTTTTCCAACGTAGGCCAGAAAGCGCTCCAAATGTCCACTTACACACACTACAAAAAGAGTGTTTCAAACCTGCTCTACCAAAGGGAATGTTCTACTCTGTGACTTGAATGCAAACATCCCAAAGAAGTTTCTGAGAATGCTTCTGTCTAGATTTTACCTGAAGACAATCCCGTTTCCCACGAAATCCTCAAAGCTATGCAAATATCCTCTTGCAGATTCTACAAAAAGAGTGTTTCGAAACTGCTCTATGAAAAGAAAGGTTCAACTGTGTCAGTAGAGGGCACACATCACAAACAAGTTTCTGAGAATGCTTCTGCATAGTTGTTACGGGAAGATATTTCCCTTTCCAAAATAGGCCTGAAAGCGCTCCAAATGTCCACTTCCAGATACTACAAAAGGAGTGATTCCAACCTGCTCTATGATAGGGAATGTTCAACTCTGTGTCCTGAATACAAACATCACAAAGATGTTTCTCAGAACGCTGCAGTCTGCAATTTGTATGAATTCCCGCTTCCAACGAAATCCTCAAAACTAGCCAAATATCCACTTGCAGATTCCACAAAAAGACCATTTCAAAACTGCTCTATCAAAAGAAAGGTTCAACTTTGTTAGTTGAGTAGATACAGCATAAACAAGTTTCTGAGAATGCTTCTGTCCAGTTTTTATGGGAAGATATTTCCTTTTTCACCTTAGCCCTGAAATCGCTCCAAAAGTCCAGTTCCAGATACTACAAAAGGGGTGTTTCAAGACTGCTCTATGAAAGGGAGTGTTCAACTTTTGACTTGAATGCAAACATCAGAAAGCAGTTTCTCAGAACGCTGCTGTGTGCTTTTTATATGTATTCCCGCTTCCAGCGAAATCCCCAAAGCTAGCCAAATATCCACTTGCAGATTCCAGAAAAAGAGTGTTTCAAAACTGCTCCTTCAAAACGGTGGTTCAATTCTCTTAGTTGAGTACACACATCTCAAATAAGTTTCTGAGAATGCTTCTGTCTAGTTGTTATGGGAAGATATTTCCTTTTCCAACATAGGCCTGAAAGCGCTCCAAATTTCCACTTCCAGATACTACAAAAGGAGTGATTCAAACCTGCTCTATGATAGGGAATGTTCAACTCTGTGTCCTGAATACAAACATCACAAAGATGTTTCTCAGAACGCTGCAGTCTGCAATTTGTATGAATTCCCGCTTCCAACGAAATCCTCAAAACTAGCCAAATATCCACTTGCAGATTCCACAAAAAGACCATTTCAAAACTGCTCTATCAAAAGAAAGGTTCAACTTTGTTAGTTGAGTAGATACAGCATAACCAAGTTTCTGAGAATGCTTCTGTCCAGTTTTTATGGGAAGATATTTCCTTTTTCACCTTAGCCCTGAAATCGCTCCAAAAGTCCAGTTCCAGATACTACAAAAGGGGTGTTTCAAGACTGCTCTATGAAAGGGAGTGTTCAACTTTTGACTTGAATGCAAACATCAGAAAGCAGTTTCTCAGAACGCTGCTGTGTGCTTTTTATATGTATTCCCGCCTCCAGCGAAGTCCCCAAAGCTAGCCAAATATCCACTTGCAGATTCCAGAAAAAGAGTGTTTCAAAACTGCTCCTTCAAAACGGTGGTTCAATTCTCTTAGTTGAGTACACACATCTCAAATAAGTTTCTGAGAATGCTTCTGTCTACTTGTTATGGGAAGATATTTCCTTTTCCAACATAGGCCTGAAAGCGCTCCAAATGTCCACTTCCAGATACTACAAAAGGAGTGATTCCAACCTGCTCTATGATAGGGAATGTTCAACTCTGTGTCCTGAATACAAACATCACAAAGATGTTTCTCAGAACGCTGCAGTCTGCAATTTGTATGAATTCCCGCTTCCAACGAAATCCTCCAAACTAGCCAAATATCCACTTGCAGATTCCACAAAAAGAGCGTTTCAAAACTTCTCTATGAAAAGAAAGGTTCTACTCCTTTAGTTGAGGACACACATCACGAGTAAGTTTCTGAGAATGCTTCTGTCTAGTTTTTATGGGAAGATATTTCCCTTTTTCACCTTAGGCCGGAAAGTGCTCCAAATGTCCACTTACACACACTACAAAAAGAGTGTTTCAAACCTGCTCTGTGAAAGGGAATGTTCAATTCTGTGACTTGAATGCAATCATCACAAAGAACTTTCTGAGAATGCTGCTGTCTGCTTTTTATATGTAATCCCGTTTCCAACGAAATCCTCAAATCTAGCCAAATAGCCACTTGCAGATTCCACAAAAAGAGAGTTTCAAAACTGTTCTGTCTAAAGAAATGTTCAACTGTGTTAGTTGAGGACACACATCAGAAACTAGTTTCTGAGAATGCTTCTGTCTAGTTGTTATGGGAAGATATTTCGTTTTCCAACGTAGGCCTGAAAGCGCTCCAAATGTCCACTTCCATATACTAAAAAAAGAGTGTTTCACACCTGCTCTACCAAAGGGAATGTTCTACTCTGTGACTTGAATGCAAACATCCCAAAGAAGTTTCTGAGAATGCTTCTGTCTAGATTTGATCTGAACACAATCCCGTTTCCAACGAAATCCTCAAAGCTAGGCAAATATCCTCTTGCAGATTCCAGAAAAAGAGTGTTTCAAAACTGCTCCTTCAAAACGGTGGTTCAATTCTCTTAGTTGAGTACACACATCTCAAATAAGTTTCTGAGAATGCTTCTGCCTAGTTGTTACCGGAAGATATTTCCCTTTCCAACATAGGCCTGAAAGCGCTCCAAATGTCCACTTCCAGATACTACAAAAAGAGTGTTTCAAACCTGCTCTACCAAAGGGAATGTTCTACTCTGTGACTTGAATGCAAACATCCCAAAGAAGTTTCTGAGAATGCTTCTGTCTAGATTTTACCTGAAGACAATCCCGTTTCCCACGAAATCCTCAAAGCTATGCAAATATCCTCTTGCAGATTCTACAAAAAGAGTGTTTCAAAACTGCTCTATGAAAAGAAAGGTTCAACTCTGTCAGTAGAGGGCACACATCGCAAACAAGTTTCTGAGAATGCTTGTGTCTAGTTGTTATGGGAAGATATTTCCTTTTTCAACATAGGCCAGAAAGCGCTCCAAATGTCCACTTCCAGATACTACAAAAGGAGTGATTCCAACCTGCTCTATGATAGGGAATGTTCAACTCTCTGTCCTGAATACAAACATCACAAAGATGTTTCTCAGAACGCTGCAGTCTGCAATTTGTATGAATTCCCGCTTCCAACGAAATCCTCAAAACTAGCCAAATATCCACTTGCAGATTCCACAAAAAGAGCATTTCAAAACTGCTCTATCAAAAGAAAGGTTCAACTTTGTTAGTTGAGTAGATACAGCATAAACAAGTTTCTGAGAATGCTTCTGTCCAGTTTTTATGGGAAGATATTTCCTTTTTCACCTTAGCCCTGAAATCGCTCCAAAAGTCCAGTTCCAGATACTACAAAAGGGGTGTTTCAGGACTGCTCTATGAAAGGGAGTGTTCAACTTTTGACTTGAATGCAAACATCAGAAAGCAGTTTCTCAGAACGCTGCTGTGTGCTTTTTATATGTATTCCCGCTTCCAGCGAAATCCCCAAAGCTAGCCAAATATCCACTTGCAGATTCCAGAAAAAGAGTGTTTCAAAACTGCTCCTTCAAAACGGTGGTTCAATTCTCTTAGTTGAGTACACACATCTCAAATAAGTTTCTGAGAATGCTCTGTCTAGTTGTTATGGGAAGATATTTCCTTTTCCAACATAGGCCTGAAAGCGCTCCAAATGTCCACTTCCAGATACTACAAAAGGAGTGATTCAAACCTGCTCTATGATAGGGAATGTTCAACTCTGTGTCCTGAATACAAACATCACAAAGATGTTTCTCAGAACGCTGGCAGTCTGCAATTTGTATGAATTCCCGCTTCCAACGAAATCCTCAAACCTAGCCAAATATCCACTTGCAGATTCCACAAAAAGAGCATTTCAAAACTGCTCTATCAAAAGAAAGGTTCAACCTTGTTAGTTGAGTAAATACAGCATAAACAAGTTTCTGAGAATGCTTCTGTCCAGTTTTTATGGGAAGATATTTCCTTTTTCACCTTAGCCCTGAAAGAATTCCAAAAGTCCAGTTCCAGATACTACAAAAGGGGTGTTTCAAGACTGCTGTATGAAAGGGAGTGTTCAACTTTTGACTTGAATGCAAACATCAGAAAGCAGTTTCTCAGAACGCTGCTGTGTGCTTTTTATATGTATTCCCGCTTCCAGCGAAATCCCCAAAGCTAGCCAAATATCCACTTGCAGATTCCAGAAAAAGAGTGTTTCAAAACTGCTCCTTCAAAACGGTGGTTCAATTCTCTTAGTTGAGTACACACATCTCAAATAAGTTTCTGAGAATGCTTCTGCCTAGTTGTTACGGGAAGATATTTCCCTTTCCAACATGGGCCTGAAAGCGCTCCAAATGTCCACTTCCAGATACTACAAAAAGAGGGTTTCAAACCTGCTCTACCAAAGGGAATGTTCTACTCTGTGACTTGAATGCAAACATCCCAAAGAAGTTTCTGAGAATGCTTCTGTCTAGATTTTACCTGAAGACAATCCCGTTTCCCACGAAATCCTCAAAGCTATGCAAATATCCTCTTGCAGATTCTACAAAAAGAGTGTTTCAAAACTGCTCTATGAAAAGAAAGGTTCAACTCTGTCAGCAGAGGGCACACATCACAAACAAGTTTCTGAGAATGCTTGTGTCTAGTTGTTATGGGAAGATATTTCCTTTTTCAACATAGGCCTGAAAGCGCTCCAAATGTCCACTTCCAGATACTACAAAAGGAGTGATTCCAACCTGCTCTATGATAGGGAATGTTCATCTCTGTGTCCTGAATACAAACATCACAAAGATGTTTCTCAGAACGCTGCAGTCTGCAATTTGTATGAATTCCCGCTTCCAAAGAAATCCTCAAAACTAACCAAATATCCACTTGCAGACTCCACAAAAAGAGCATTTCAAAACTGCTCTATCAAAAGAAAGGTTCAACTTTGTTAGTTGAGTAGATACAGCATAAACAAGTTTCTGAGAATGCTTCTGTCCAGTTTTTATGGGAAGATATTTCCTTTTTCACCTTAGCCCTGAAAGCACTCCAAATGTCCACTTCCAGATACCACAAAAGGGGAGTTTCAAGACTGCTCTATGAAAGGGAGTGTTCAACTTTTGACTTGAATGCGAACATCAGAAAGAAGTTTCTCAGAACGCTGCTGTGTGCTTTTTATATGTATTCCCGCTTCCAGCGAAATCCCCAAAGCTAGCCAAATATCCACTTGCAGATTCCAGAAAAAGAGTGTTTCAAAACTGCTCCTTCAAAACGGTGGTTCAATTCTCTTAGTTGAGTACACACATCTCAAATAAGTTTCTGAGAATGCTTCTGTCTAGTTTTTATGGGAAGATATTTCCTTTTTCACCTGAGGCCGGAAAGCGCTCCAAATGTCCACTTCCAGATACTACAAAAGGAGTGATTCAAACCTGCTCTATGATAGGGAACGTTCAACTCTGTGTCCTGAATACAAACATCACAAAGATGTTTCTCAGAACGCTGCAGTCTGCAATTTGTATGAATTCCCGCTTCCAACGAAATCCTCCAAACTAGCCAAATATCCACTTGCAGATTCCACAAAAAGAGCGTTTCAAAACTTCTCTATGAAAAGAAAGGTTCTACTCATTTAGTTGAGGACACACATCACGAGTAAGTTTCTGAGAATGCTTCTGTCTAGTTTTTATGGGAAGATATTTCCTTTTTCACCTTAGGCCGGAAAGTGCTCCAAATGTCCACTTACACACACTACAAAAAGAGTGTTTCAAACCTGCTCTGTGAAAGGGAATGTTCAATTCTGTGACTTGAATGCAATCATCACAAAGAACTTTCTGAGAATGCTGCTGTCTGCTTTTTATATGTAATCCCGTTTCCAACGAAATCCTCAAATCTAGCCAAATAGCCACTTGCAGATTCCACAAAAAGAGTGTTTCAAAACTGTTCTGTCTAAAGAAATGTTCAACTGTGTTAGTTGAGGACACACATCAGAAACTAGTTTCTGAGAATGCTTCTGTCTAGTTGTTATGGGAAGATATTTCCTTTTACAACGTAGGCCTGAAAGCGCTCCAAATGTCCACTTCCATATACTTAAAAAAGAGTGTTTCAAACCTGCTCTACCAAAGGGAATGTTCTACTCTGTGACATGAATGCAAACATCCCAAAGAAGTTTCTGAGAATGCTTCTGTCTAGATTTGATCTGAAGACAATCCCGTTTCCAACGAAATCCTCAAGGCTAGGCAAATATCCTCTTGCAGATTCCAGAAAAAGAGTGTTTCAAAACTGCTCCTTCAAAACGGTGGTTCAATTCTCTTAGTTGAGTACACACATCTCAAATAAGTTTCTGAGAATGCTTCTGCCTAGTTGTTACGGGAAGATATTTCCCTTTCCAACATAGGCCTGAAAGCGCTCCAAATGTCCACTTCCAGATACTACAAAAAGAGTGTTTGAAACCTGCTCTACCAAAGGGAATGTTCTACTCTGTGACTTGAATGCAAACATCCCAAAGAAGTTTCTGAGAATGCTTCTGTCTAGATTTTACCTGAAGACAATCCCGTTTCCCACGAAATCCTCAAAGCTATGCAAATATCCTCTTGCAGATTCTACAAAAAGAGTGTTTCAAAACTGCTCTATGAAAAGAAAGGTTCAACTCTGTCAGTAGAGGGCACACATCACAAACAAGTTTCTGAGAATGCTTGTGTCTAGTTGTTATGGGAAGATATTTCCTTTTTCAACATAGGCCTGAAAGCGCTCCAAATGTCCACTTCCAGATACTACAAAAGGAGTGATTCCAACCTGCTCTATGATAGGGAATGTTCAACTCTCTGTCCTGAATACAAACATCACAAAGATGTTTCTCAGAACGCTGCAGTCTGCAATTTGTATGAATTCCCGCTTCCAACGAAATCCTCAAAACTAGCCAAATATCCACTTGCAGATTCCACAAAAAGACCATTTCAAAACTGCTCTATCAAAAGAAAGGTTCAACTTTGTTAGTTGAGTAGATACAGCATAAACAAGTTTCTGAGAATGCTTCTGTCCAGTTTTTATGGGAAGATATTTCCTTTTTCACCTTAGCCCTGAAATCGCTCCAAAAGTCCAGTTCCAGATACTACAAAAGGGGTGTTTCAAGACTGCTCTATGAAAGGGAGTGTTCAACTTTTGACTTGAATGCAAACATCAGAAAGCAGTTTCTCAGAACGCTGCTGTGTGCTTTTTATATGTATTCCCGCTTCCAGCGAAATCCCCAAAGCTAGCCAAATATCCACTTGCAGATTCCAGAAAAAGAGAGTTTCAAAACTGCTCCTTCAAAACGGTGGTTCAATTCTCTTAGTTGAGTACACACATCTCAAATAAGTTTTCTGAGAATGCTTATGTGTCTAGTTGTTATGGGAAGATATTTCCTTTTTCAACATAGGCCTGAAAGCGCTCCAAATGTCCACTTCCAGATACTACAAAAGGAGTGATTCCAACCTGCTCTATGATAGGGAATGTTCATCTCTGTGTCCTGAATACAAACATCACAAAGATGTTTCTCAGAACGCTGCAGTCTGCAATTTGTATGAATTCCCGCTTCCAACGAAATCCTCAAAACTAGCCAAATATCCACTTGCAGATTCCACAAAAAGAGCGTTTCAAAACTTCTCTATGAAAAGAAAGGTTCTACTCCTTTAGTTGAGGACACACATCACGAGTAAGTTTCTGAGAATGCTTCTGTCTAGTTTTTATGGGAAGATTATTTCCTTTTTCACCTTAGGCCGGTAAGTGCTCCAAATGTCCACTTACACACACTACAAAAAGAGTGTTTCAAACCTGCTCTGTGAAAGGGAATGTTCAATTCTGTGACTTGAATGCAATCATCACAAAGAACTTTCTGAGAATGCTGCTGACTGCTTTTTATATGTAATCCCGTTTCCAACGAAATCCTCAAATCTAGCCAAATAGCCACTTGCAGATTCCACAAAAAGAGTGTTTCAAAACTGTTCTGTCTAAAGAAATGTTCAACTGTGTTAGTTGAGGACACACATCAGAAACTAGTTTCTGAGAATGCTTCTGTCTAGTTGTTATGGGAAGATATTTCCTTTTCCAACGTAGGCCTGAAAGCGATCAAAATGTCCACTTCCATATACTAAAAAAAGAGTGTTTCAAACCTGCTCTACCAAAGAGAATGTTCTACTCTGTGACTTGAATGCAAACATCCCAAAGAAGTTTCTGAGAATGCTTCTGTCTAGATTTTATCTGAAGACAATCCCGTTTCCAACGAAATCCACAAAGCTAGGAAGATATACTCTTGCAGATTCCAGAAAAAGAGTGTTTCAAAACTGCTCCTTCAAAACGGTGGTTCAATTCTCTTAGTTGAGTACACACATCTCAAATAAGTTTCTGAGAATGCTTCTGCCTAGTTGTTACGGGAAGATATTTCCCTTTCCAACATGGGCCTGAAAGCGCTCCAAATGTCCACTTCCAGATACTACAAAAAGAGTGTTTCAAACCTGCTCTACCAAAGGGAATGTTCTACTCTGTGACTTGAATGCAAACATCCCAAAGAAGTTTCTGAGAATGCTTCTGTCTAGATTTTACCTGAAGACAATCCCGTTTCCCACGAAATCCTCAAAGCTATGCAAATATCCTCTTGCAGATTCTACAAAAAGAGTGTTTCAAAACTGCTCTATGAAAAGAAAGGTTCAACTCTGTCAGTAGAGGGCACACATCACAAACAAGTTTCTGAGAATGCTTGTGTCTAGTTGTTATGGGAAGATATTTCCTTTTTCAACATAGGCCTGAAAGCGCTCCAAATGTCCACTTCCAGATACTACAAAAGGAGTGATTCCAACCTGCTCTATGATAGGGAATGTTCAACTCTCTGTCCTGAATACAAACATCACAAAGATGTTTCTCAGAACGCTGCAGTCTGCAATTTGTATGAATTCCCGCTTCCAACCAAATCCTCAAAACTAGCCAAATATCCACTTGCAGATTCCACAAAAAGAGCATTTCAAAACTGCTCTATCAAAAGAAAGGTTCAACTTTGTTAGTTGAGTAGATACAGCATAAACAAGTTTCTGAGAATGCTTCTGTCCAGTTTTTATGGGAAGATATTTCCTTTTTCACCTTAGCCCTGAAATCGCTCCAAAAGTCCAGTTCCAGATACTACAAAAGGGGTGTTTCAGGACTGCTCTATGAAAGGGAGTGTTCAACTTTTGACTTGAATGCAAACATCAGAAAGCAGTTTCTCAGAACGCTGCTGTGTGCTTTTTATATGTATTCCCGCTTCCAGCGAAATCCCCAAAGCTAGCCAAATATCCACTTGCAGATTCCAGAAAAAGAGAGTTTCAAAACTGCTCCTTCAAAACGGTGGTTCAATTCTCTTAGTTGAGTACACACATCTCAAATAAGTTTCTGAGAATGCTTTCTGTCTAGTTGTTATGGGAAGATATTTCCTTTTCCAACATAGGCCTGAAAGCGCTCCAAATGTCCACTTCCAGATACTACAAAAGGAGTGATTCAAACCTGCTCTATGATAGGGAATGTTCAACTCTGTGTCCTGAATACAAACATCACAAAGATGTTTCTCAGAACGCTGCAGTCTGCAATTTGTATGAATTCCCGCTTCCAACGAAATCCTCAAAACTAGCCAAATATCCACTTGCAGATTCCACAAAAAGAGCGTTTCAAAACTTCTCTATGAAAAGAAAGGTTCTACTCCTTTAGTTGAGGACACACATCACGAGTAAGTTTCTGAGAATGCTTCTGTCTAGTTTTTATGGGAAGATATTTCCTTTTTCACCTTAGGCCGGTAAGTGCTCCAAATGTCCACTTACACACACTACAAAAAGAGTGTTTCAAACCTGCTCTGTGAAAGGGAATGTTCAATTCTGTGACTTGAATGCAATCATGACAAAGAACTTTCTGAGAATGCTGCTGACTGCTTTTTATATGTAATCCCGTTTCCAACGAAATCCTCAAATCTAGCCAAATAGCCACTTGCAGATTCCACAAAAAGAGTGTTTCAAAACTGTTCTGTCTAAAGAAATGTTCAACTGTGTTAGTTGAGGACACACATCAGAAACTAGTTTCTGAGAATGCTTCTGTCTAGTTGTTATGGGAAGATATTTCCTTTTCCAACGTAGGCCTGAAAGCGCTCCAAATGTCCACTTCCATATACTAAAAAAAGAGTGTTTCAAACCTGCTCTACCAAAGGGAATGTTCTACTCTGTGACTTGAATGCAAACATCCCAAAGAAGTTTCTGAGAATGCTTCTGTCTAGATTTTCTCTGAAGACAATCCCGTTTCCAACGAAATCCTCAAGGCTAGGCAAATATACTCTTGCAGATTCCAGAAAAAGAGTGTTTCAAAACTGCTCCTTCAAAACGGTGGTTCAATTCTCTTAGTTGAGTACACACATCTCAAATAAGTTTCTGAGAATGCTTCTGCCTAGTTGTTACGGGAAGATATTTCCCTTTCCAACATAGGCCTGAAAGCGCTCCAAATGTCCACTTCCAGATACTACAAAAAGAGTGTTTCAAACCTGCTCTACCAAAGGGAATGTTCTACTCTGTGACTTGAATGCAAACATCCCAAAGAAGTTTCTGAGAATGCTTCTGTCTAGATTTGATCTGAAGACAATCCCGTTTCCAACGAAATCCTCAAGGCTAGGCAAATATCCTCTTGCAGATTCCAGAAAAAGAGTGTTTCAAAACTGCTCCTTCAAAACGGTGGTTCAATTCTCTTAGTTGAGTACACACATCTCAAATAAGTTTCTGAGAATGCTTCTGCCTAGTTGTTACGGGAAGATATTTCCCTTTCCAACATGGGCCTGAAAGCGCTCCAAATGTCCACTTCCAGATACTACAAAAAGAGTGTTTGAAACCTGCTCTACCAAAGGGAATGTTCTACTCTGTGACTTGAATGCAAACATCCCAAAGAAGTTTCTGAGAATGCTTCTGTCTAGATTTTACCTGAAGACAATCCCGTTTCCCACGAAATCCTCAAAGCTATGCAAATATCCTCTTGCGGATTCTACAAAAAGAGTGTTTCAAAACTGCTCTATGAAAAGAAAGGTTCAACTCTGTCAGTAGAGGGCACACATCACAAACAAGTTTCTGAGAATGCTTGTGTCTAGTTGTTATGGGAAGATATTTCCTTTTTCAACATAGGCCTGAAAGCGCTCCAAATGTCCACTTCCAGATACTACAAAAGGAGTGATTCCAACCTGCTCTATGATAGGGAATGTTCAACTCTCTGTCCTGAATACAAACATCACAAACATGTTTCTCAGAACGCTGCAGTCTGCAATTTGTATGAATTCCCGCTTCCAACGAAATCCTCAAAACTAGCCAAATATCCACTTGCAGATTCCACAAAAAGAGCATTTCAAAACTGCTCTATCAAAAGAAAGGTTCAACTTTGTTAGTTGAGTAGATACAGCATAAACAAGTTTCTGAGAATGCTTCTGTCCAGTTTTTATGGGAAGATATTTCCTTTTTCACCTTAGCCCTGAAAGCGCTCCAAAAGTCCAGTTCCAGATACTACAAAGGGAGTGTTTCAGGACTGCACTATGAAAGGGAGTGTTCAACTTTTGACTTGAATGCAAACATCAGAAAGCAGTTTCTCAGAACGCTGCTGTGTGCTTTTTATATGTATTCCCGCTTCCAGCGAAATCCCCAAAGCTAGCCAAATATCCACTTGCAGATTCCAGAAAAAGAGTGTTTCAAAACTGCTCCTTCAAAACGGTGGTTCAATTCTCTTAGTTGAGTACACACATCTCAAATAAGTTTCTGAGAATGCTTCTGTCTAGTTGTTATGGGAAGATATTTCCTTTTCCAACATAGGCCTGAAAGCGCTCCAAATGTCCACTTCCAGATACTACAAAAGGAGTGATTCAAACCTGCTCTATGATAGGGAATGTTCAACTCTGTGTCCTGAATACAAACATCACAAAGATGTTTCTCAGAACGCTGCAGTCTGCAATTTGTATGAATTCCCGCTTCCAACGAAATCCTCAAAACTAGCCAAATATCCACTTGCAGATTCCACAAAAAGACCATTTCAAAACTGCTCTATCAAAAGAAAGGTTCAACTTTGTTAGTTGAGTAGATACAGCATAAACAAGTTTCTGAGAATGCTTCTGTCCAGTTTTTATGGGAAGATATTTCCTTTTTCACCTTAGCCCTGAAATCGCTCCAAAAGTCCAGTTCCAGATACTACAAAAGGGGTGTTTCAAGACTGCTCTATGAAAGGGAGTGTTCAACTTTTGACTTGAATGCAAACATCAGAAAGCAGTTTCTCAGAACGCTGCTGTGTGCTTTTTATATGTATTCCCGCTTCCAGCGAAATCCCCAAAGCTAGCCAAATATCCACTTGCAGATTCCAGAAAAAGAGAGTTTCAAAACTGCTCCTTCAAAACGGTGGTTCAATTCTCTTAGTTGAGTACACACATCTCAAATAAGTTTCTGAGAATGCTGCAGTCTGCATCTTGTATGAATTCCCGCTTCCAACGAAATCCTCAAAACTAGCCAAATATCCACTTGCAGATTCCACAAAAAGAGCGTTTCAAAACTTCTCTATGAAAAGAAAGGTTCTACTCCTTTAGTTGAGGACACACATCACGGAGTAAGTTTCTGAGAATGCTTCTGTCTAGTTTTTATGGGAAGATATTTCCTTGTTCACCTTAGGCCGGAAAGCGCTCCAAATGTCCACTTACACACACTACAAAAAGAGTGTTTCAAACCTGCTCTGTGAAAGGGAATGTTCAATTCTGTGACTTGAATGCAATCATCACAAAGAAGTTTCTGAGAATGCTGCTGTCTGCTTTTTATATGTAATCCCGTTTCCAACGAAATCCTCAAATCTAGCCAAATATCCACTTGCAGATTCCACAAAAAGAGTGTTTCAAAACTGTTCTGTCTAAAGAAAAGTTCAACTGTGTTAGTTGAGGACACACATCAGAAACTAGTTTCTGAGAATGCTTCTGTCTAGTTGTTATGGGAAGATATTTCCTTTTCCAACGTAGGCCTGAAAGCGCTCCAAATGTCCACTTCCATATACTAAAAAAAGAGTGTTTCAAACCTGCTCTACCAAAGGAATGTTCTACTCTGTGACTTGAATGCAAACATCCCAAAGAAGTTTCTGAGAATGCTTCTGTCTAGATTTGAGCTGAAGACAATCCCGTTTCCAACGAAATCCTCAAAGCTAGGCAAATATACTCTAGCAGATTCCAGAAAAAGAGTGTTTCACAACTGCTCCTTCAAAACGGTGGTTCAATTCTCTTAGTTGAGTACACACATCTCAAATAAGTTTCTGAGAATGCTCTGCCTAGTTGTTACGGGAAGATATTTCCCTTTCCAACATAGGCCTGAAAGCACTCCAAATGTCCACTTCCAGATACTACAAAAAGAGTGTTTCAAACCTGCTCTACCAAAGGGAATGTTCTGCTCTGTGACTTGAATGCAAACATCCCAAAGAAGTTTCTGAGAATGCTTTCTGTCTAGATTTTACCTGAAGACAATCCCGTTTCCCACGAAATCCTCAAAGCTATGCAAATATCCTCTTGCAGATTCTACAAAAAGAGTGTTTCAAAACTGCTCTATGAAAAGAAAGGTTCAACTCTGTCAGTAGAGGGCACACATCACAAACAAGTTTCTGAGAATGCTTCTGCATAGTTGTTACGGGAAGATATTTCCCTTTCCAAAATAGGCCTGAAAGCGCTCCAAATGTCCACTTCCAGATACTACAAAAGGAGTGATTCCAACCTGCTCTATGATAGGGAATGTTCAACTCTGTGTCCTGAATACAAACATCACAAAGATGTTTCTCAGAACGCTGCAGTCTGCAATTTGTATGAATTCCCGCTTCCAACGAAATCCTCAAAACTAGCCAAATATCCACTTGCAGATTCCACAAAAAGACCATTTCAAAACTGCTCTATCAAAAGAAAGGTTCAACTTTGTTAGTTGAGTAGATACAGCATAAACAAGTTTCTGAGAATGCTTCTGTCCAGTTTTTATGGGAAGATATTTCCTTTTTCACCTTAGCCCTGAAATCGCTCCAAAAGTCCAGTTCCAGATACTACAAAAGGGGTGTTTCAAGACTGCTCTATGAAAGGGAGTGTTCAACTTTTGACTTGAATGCAAACATCAGAAAGCAGTTTCTCCGAACGCTGCTGTGTGCTTTTTATATGTATTCCCGCTTCCAGCGAAATCCCCAAAGCTAGCCAAATATCCACTTGCAGATTCCAGAAAAAGAGAGTTTCAAAACTGCTCCTTCAAAACGGTGGTTCAATTCTCTTAGTTGAGTACACACATCTCAAATAAGTTTCTGAGAATGCTGCAGTCTGCAATTTGTATGAATTCCCGCTTCCAACGAAATCCTCAAAACTAGCCAAATATCCACTTGCAGATTCCACAAAAAGAGCGTTTCAAAACTTCTCTATGAAAAGGAAGGTTCTACTCCTTTAGTTGAGGACACACATCACGAGTAAGTTTCTGAGAATGCTTCTGTCTAGTTTTTATGGGAAGATATTTCCTTTTTCACCTTAGGCCGGAAAGTGCTCCAAATGTCCACTTACACACACTACAAAAAGAGTGTTTCAAACCTGCTCTGTGAAAGGGAATGTTCAATTCTGTGACTTGAATGCAATCATCACAAAGAACTTTCTGAGAATGCTGCTGTCTGCTTTGTATATGTAATCCCGTTTCCAACGAAATCCTCAAATCTAGCCAAATAGCCACTTGCAGATTCCACAAAAAGAGTGTTTCAAAACTGTTCTGTCTAAAGAAATGTTCAACTGTGTTAGTTGAGGACACACATCAGAAACTAGTTTCTGAGAATGCTTCTGTCTAGTTGTTATGGGAAGATATTTCCTTTTCCAACGTAGGCCTGAAAGCGCTCCAAATGTCCACTTCCATATACTAAAAAAAGAGTGTTTCAAACCTGCTCTACCAAAGGGAATGTTCCACTCTGTGACTTGAATGCAAACATCCCAAAGAAGTTTCTGAGAATGCTTCTGTCTAGATTTGATCTGAAGACAATCCCGTTTCCAACGAAATCCTCAAGGCTAGGCAAATATCCTCTTGCAGATTCCAGAAAAAGAGTGTTTCAAAACTGCTCCTTCAAAACGGTGGTTCAATTCTCTTAGTTGAGTACACACATCTCAAATAAGTTTCTGAGAATGCTTCTGCCCTAGTTGTTACGGGAAGATATTTCCCTTTCCAACATGGGCCTGAAAGCGCTCCAAATGTCCACTTCCAGATACTACAAAAAGAGTGTTTCAAACCTGCTCTACGAAAGGGAATGTTCTACTCTGTGACTTGAATGCAAACATCCCAAAGAAGTTTCTGAGAATGCTTCTGTCTAGATTTTACCTGAAGACAATCCCGTTTCCCACGAAATCCTCAAAGCTATGCAAATATCCTCTTGCGGATTCTACAAAAAGAGTGTTTCAAAACTGCTCTATGAAAAGAAAGGTTCAACTCTGTCAGTAGAGGGCACACATCACAAACAAGTTTCTGAGAATGCTTGTGTCTAGTTGTTATGGGAAGATATTTCCTTTTTCAACATAGGCCTGAAAGCGCTCCAAATGTCCACTTCCAGATACTACAAAAGGCGTGATTCCAACCTGCTCTATGATAGGGAATGTTCATCTCTGTGTCCTGAATACAAACATCACAAAGATGTTTCTCAGAACGCTGCAGTCTGCAATTTGTATGAATTCCCGCTTCCAACGAAATCCTCAAAACTAGCCAAATATCCACTTGGAGATTCCACAAAAAGAGCGTTTCAAAACTTCTCTATGAATAGAAAGGTTCTACTCCTTTAGTTGAGGACACACATCACGAGTAAGTTTCTGAGAATGCTTCTGTCTAGTTTTTATGGGAAGATATTTCCTTTTTCACCTTAGGCCGGAAAGCGCTCCAAATGTCCACTTACACACACTACAAAAAGAGTGTTTCAAACCTGCTCTGTGAAAGGGAATGTTCAATTCTGTGACTTGAATGCAATCATCACAAAGAACTTTCTGAGAATGCTGCTGTCTGCTTTTTATATGTAATCCCGTTTCCAACGAAATCCTCAAATCTAGCCCAATATCCACTTGCAGATTCCACAAAAAGAGTGTTTCAAAACTGTTCTGTATAAAGAAATGTACAACTGTGTTAGTTGAGGACACACATCAGAAACTAGTTTCTGAGAATGCTTCTGTCTAGTTGTTATGGGAAGATATTTCCTTTTCCAACGTAGGCCTGAAAGCGCTCCAAATGTCCACTTCCATATACTAAAAAAAGAGTGTTTCAAACCTGCTCTAACAAAGGGAATGTTCTACTCTGTGACTTGAATGCAAACATCCCAAAGAAGTTTCTGAGAATGCTTCTGTCTAGATTTTATCTGAAGACAATCCCGTTTCCAACGAAATTCTCAAGGCTAGGCAAATATACTCTTGCAGATTCCAGAAAAAGAGTGTTTCAAAACTGCTCCTTCAAAACGGTGGTTCAATTCTCTTAGTTGAGTACACACATCTCAAATAAGTTTCTGAGAATGCTTCTGCCTAGTTGTTACGGGAAGATATTTCCCTTTCCAACATGGGCCTGAAAGCGCTCCAAATGTCCACTTCCAGATACTACAAAAAGAGGGTTTCAAACCTGCTCTACCAAAGGGAATGTTCTACTCTGTGACTTGAATGCAAACATCCCAAAGAAGTTTCTGAGAATGCTTCTGTCTAGATTTTACCTGAAGACAATCCCGTTTCCCACGAAATCCTCAAAGCTATGCAAATATCCTCTTGCAGATTCTACAAAAAGAGTGTTTCAAAACTGCTCTATGAAAAGAAAGGTTCAACTCTGTCAGTAGAGGGCACACATCACAAACAAGTTTCTGAGAATGCTTCTGCATAGTTGTTACGGGAAGATATTTCCCTTTCCAAAATAGGCCTGAAAGCGCTCCAAATGTCCACTTCCAGATACTACAAAAGGAGTGATTCCAACCTGCTCTATGATAGGGAATGTTCAACTCTGTGTCCTGAATACAAACATCACAAAGATGTTTCTCAGAACGCTGCAGTCTGCAATTTGTATGTATTCCAGCTTCCAACGAAATCCTCAAATCTAGCCAAATATCCACTTGCAGATTCCACAAAAAGAGCATTTCAAAACTGCTCTATCAAAAGAAAGGTTCAACTTTTTTAGTAGAGTAGATACAGCATAAACAAGTTTCTGAGAATGCTTCTGTCCAGTTTTTATGGGAAGATATTTCCTTTTTCACCTTAGCCCTGAAAGCGCTCCAAAAGTCCAGTTCCAGATACTACAAAAGGAGTGTTTCAGGACTGCTCTATGAAAGGGAGTGTTCAACTTTTGACTTGAATGCAAACATCAGAAAGCAGTTTCTCAGAACGCTGCTGTGTGCTTTTTATATGTATTCCCGCTTCCAGCGAAATCCCCAAAGCTAGCCAAATATCCACTTGCAGATTCCAGAAAAAGAGTGTTTCAAAACTGCTCCTTCAAAACGGTGGTTCAATTCTCTTAGTTGAGTACACACATCTCAAATAAGTTTCTGAGAATGCTTCTGTCTAGTTGTTATGGGAAGATATTTCCTTTTCCAACATAGGCCTGAAAGCGCTCCAAATGTCCACTTCCAGATACTACAAAAGGAGTGATTCCAACCTGCTCTATGATAGGGAATGTTCAACTCTGTGTCCTGAATACAAACATCACAAAGATGTTTCTCAGAACGCTGCAGTCTGCAATTTGTATGAATTCCCGCTTCCAACGAAATCCTCCAAACTAGCCAAATATCCACTTGCAGATTCCACAAGAAGAGCGTTTCAAAACTTCTCTATGAAAAGAAAGGTTCTACTCCTTTAGTTGAGGACACACATCACGAGTAAGTTTCTGAGAATGCTTCTGTCTAGTTTTTATGGGAAGATATTTCCTTGTTCACCTTAGGCCGGAAAGCGCTCCAAATGTCCACTTACACACACTACAAAAAGAGTGTTTCAAACCTGCTCTGTGAAAGGGAATGTTCAATTCTGTGACTTGAATGCAATCATCACAAAGAAGTTTCTGAGAATGCTGCTGTCTGCTTTTTATATGTAATCCCGTTTCCAATGAAATCCTCAAATCTAGCCAAATATCCACTTGCAGATTCCACAAAGAGAGTGTTTCAAAACTGTTCTGTCTAAAGAAATGTTCAACTGTGTTAGTTGAGGACACACATCAGAAACTAGTTTCCTGAGAATGCTTCTGTCTAGTTGTTATGGGAAGATATTTCCTTTTCCAACGTAGGCCTGAAAGCGCTCCAAATGTCCACTTACACACACTACAAAAAGAGTGTTTCAAACCTGCTCTACCAAAGGGAATGTTCTACCCTGTGACTTGAATGCAAACATCCCAAAGAAGTTTCTGAGAATGCTTCTGTCTAGATTTGATCTGAAGACAATCCCGTTTCCAACGAAATCCTCAAGGCTAGGCAAATATACTCTTGCAGATTCCAGAAATGAGGGTTTCAAAACTGCTCCTTCAAAACGGTGGTTCAGTTCTCTTAGTTGAGTACACACATCTCAAATAAGTTTCTGAGAATGCTTCTGCCTAGTTGTTACGGGAAGATATTTCCCTTTCCAACATGGGCCTGAAAGCGCTCCAAATGTCCACTTCCAGATACTACAAAAAGAGTGTTTCAAACCTGCTCTACCAAAGGGAATGTTCTACTCTGTGACTTGAATGCAAACATCCCAAAGAAGTTTCTGAGAATGCTTCTGTCTAGATTTTACCTGAAGACAATCCCGTTTCCCACGAAATCCTCAAAGCTATGCAAATATCCTCTTGCGGATTCTACAAAAAGAGTGTTTCAAAACTGCTCTATGAAAAGAAAGGTTCAACTCTGTCAGTAGAGGGCACACATCACAAACAAGTTTCTGAGAATGCTTGTGTCTAGTTGTTATGGGAAGATATTTCCTTTTTCAACATAGGGCCTGAAAGCGCTCCAAATGTCCACTTCCAGATACTACAAAAGGAGTGATTCCAACCTGCTCTATGATAGGGAATGTTCATCTCTGTGTCCTGAATACAAACATCACAAAGATGTTTCTCAGAACGCTGCAGTCTGCAATTTGTATGAATTCCCGCTTCCAACGAAATCCTCAAAACTAGCCAAATATCCACTTGGAGATTCCACAAAAAGAGCGTTTCAAAACTTCTCTATGAATAGAAAGGTTCTACTCCTTTAGTTGAGGACACACATCACGAGTAAGTTTCTGAGAATGCTTCTGTCTAGTTTTTATGGGAAGATATTTCCTTTTTCACCTTAGGCCGGATAGCGCTCCAAATGTCCACTTACACACACTACAAAAAGAGTGTTTCAAACCTACTCTGTGAAAGGGAATGTTCAATTCTGTGACTTGAATGCAATCATCACAAAGAACTTTCTGAGAATGCTGCTGACTGCTTTTTATATGTAATCCCGTTTCCAACGAAATCCTCAAATCTAGCCAAATAGCCACTTGCAGATTCCACCAAAAGAGTGTTTCAAATCTGTTCTGTCTAAAGAAATGTACAACTGTGTTAGTTGAGGACACACATCAGAAACTAGTTTCTGAGAATGCTTCTGTCTAGTTGTTATGGGAAGATATTTCCTTTTCCAACGTAGGCCTGAAAGCGCTCCAAATGTCCACTTCCATATACTAAAAAAAGAGTGTTTCACACCTGCTCTACCAAAGGGAATGTTCTACTCTGTGACTTGAATGCAAACATCCCAAAGAAGTTTCTGAGAATGCTTCTGTCTAGATTTGATCTGAACACAATCCCGTTTCCAACGAAATCCTCAAAGCTAGGCAAATATCCTCTTGCAGATTCCAGAAAAAGAGTGTTTCAAAACTGCTCCTTCAAAACGGTGGTTCAATTCTCTTAGTTGAGTACACACATCTCAAATAAGTTTCTGAGAATGCTTCTGCCTAGTTGTTACCGGAAGATATTTCCCTTTCCAACATAGGCCTGAAAGCGCTCCAAATGTCCACTTCCAGATACTACAAAAAGAGTGTTTCAAACCTGCTCTACCAAAGGGAATGTTCTACTCTGTGACTTGAATGCAAACATCCCAAAGAAGTTTCTGAGAATGCTTCTGTCTAGATTTTACCTGAAGACAATCCCGTTTCCCACGAAATCCTCAAAGCTATGCAAATATCCTCTTGCAGATTCTACAAAAAGAGTGTTTCAAAACTGCTCTATGAAAAGAAAGGTTCAACTCTGTCAGTAGAGGGCACACATCACAAACAAGTTTCTGAGAATGCTTGTGTCTAGTTGTTATGGGAAGATATTTCCTTTTTCAACATAGGCCTGAAAGCGCTCCAAATGTCCACTTCCAGATACTACAAAAGGAGTGATTCCAACCTGCTCTATGATAGGGAATGTTCAACTCTCTGTCCTGAATACAAACATCACAAAGATGTTTCTCAGAACGCTGCAGTCTGCAATTTGTATGAATTCCCGCTTCCAACGAAATCCTCAAAACTAGCCAAATATCCACTTGCAGATTCCACAAAAAGAGCATTTCAAAACTGCTCTATCAAAAGAAAGGTTCAACTTTGTTAGTTGAGTAGATACAGCATAAACAAGTTTCTGAGAATGCTGCAGTCTGCAATTTGTATGAATTCCCGCTTCCAACGAAATCCTCAAAACTAGCCAAATATCCACTTGCAGATTCCACAAAAAGAGCGTTTCAAAACTTCTCTATGAAAAGAAAGGTTCTACTCCTTTAGTTGAGGACACACAATACGAGTAAGTTTCTGAGAATGCTTCTGTCCAGTTTTTATGGGAAGATATTTCCTTTTTCACCTTAGCCCTGAAAGCGCTCCAAAAGTCCAGTTCCAGATACTACAAAAGGAGTGTTTCAGGACTGCTCTATGAAAGGGAGTGTTCAACTTTTGACTTGAATGCAAACATCAGAAAGCAGTTTCTCAGAACGCTGCTGTGTGCTTTTTATATGTATTCCCGCTTCCAGCGAAATCCCCAAAGCTAGCCAAATATCCACTTGCAGATTCCAGAAAAAGAGTGTTTCAAAACTGCTCCTTCAAAACGGTGGTTCAATTCTCTTAGTTGAGTACACACATCTCAAATAAGTTTCTGAGAATGCTTCTGTCTAGTTGTTATGGGAAGATATTTCCTTTTCCAACATAGGCCTGAAAGCGCTCCAAATGTCCACTTCCAGATACTACAAAGGGAGTGATTCAAACCTGCTCTATGATAGGGAATGTTCAACTCTGTGTCCTGAATACAAACATCACAAAGATGTTTCTCAGAACGCTGCAGTCTGCAATTTGTATGAATTCCCGCTTCCAACGAAATCCTCAAAACTAGCCAAATATCCACTTGCAGATTCCACAAAAAGAGCGTTTCAAAACTTCTCTATGAAAAGAAAGGTTCTACTCCTTTAGTTGAGGACACACATCACGAGTAAGTTTCTGAGAATGCTTCTGTCTAGTTTTTATGGGAAGATATTTCCTTTTTCACCTTAGGCCGGAAAGTGCTCCAAATGTCCACTTACACACACTACAAAAAGAGTGTTTCAAACCTGCTCTGTGAAAGGGAATGTTCAATTCTGTGACTTGTATGCAACCATCACAAAGAACTTTCTGAGAATGCTGCTGTCTGCTTTTTATATGTAATCCCGTTTCCAACGAAATCCTCAAATCTAGCCAAATAGCCACTTGCAGATTCCACAAAAAGAGTGTTTCAAAACTGTTCTGTCTAAAGAAATGTTCAACTGTGTTAGTTGAGGACACACATCAGAAACTAGTTTCTGAGAATGCTTCTGTCTAGTTGTTATGGGAAGATATTTCCTTTTCCAACGTAGGCCTGAAAGCGCTCCAAATGTCCACTTCCATATACTAAAAAAAGAGTGTTTCAAACCTGCTCTACCAAAGGGAATGTTCTACTCTGTGACTTGAATGCAAACATCCCAAAGAAGTTTCTGAGAATGCTTCTGTCTAGATTTGATCTGAAGACAATCCCGTTTCCAACGAAATCCTCAAGGCTAGGCAAATATCCTCTTGCAGATTCCAGAAAAAGAGTGTTTCAAAACTGCTCCTTCAAAACGGTGGTTCAATTCTCTTAGTTGAGTACACACATCTCAAATAAGTTTCTGAGAATGCTTCTGCCTAGTTGTTACGGGAAGATATTTCCCTTTCCAACATAGGCCTGAAAGCGCTCCAAATGTCCACTTCCAGATACTACAAAAAGAGTGTTTCAAACCTGCTCTACCAAAGGGAATGTTCTACTCTGTGACTTGAATGCAAACATCCCAAAGAAGTTTCTGAGAATGCTTCTGTCTAGATTTTACCTGAAGACAATCCCGTTTCCCACGAAATCCTCAAAGCTATGCAAATATCCTCTTGCAGATTCTACAAAAAGAGTGTTTCAAAACTGCTCTATGAAAAGAAAGGTTCAACTCTGTCAGTAGAGGGCACACATCACAAACAAGTTTCTGAGAATGCTTGTGTCTAGTTGTTATGGGAAGATATTTCCTTTTTCAACATAGGCCAGAAAGCGCTCCAAATGTCCACTTCCAGATACTACAAAAGGAGTGATTCCAACCTGCTCTATGATAGGGAATGTTCAACTCTCTGTCCTGAATGCAAACATCACAAAGATGTTTCTCAGAACGCTGCAGTCTGCAATTTGTATGAATTCCCGCTTCCAACGAAATCCTCAAAACTAGCCAAATATCCACTTGCAGATTCCACAAAAAGACCATTTCAAAACTGCTCTATCAAAAGAAAGGTTCAACTTTGTTAGTTGAGTAGATACAGCATAAACAAGTTTCTGAGAATGCTTCTGTCCAGTTTTTATGGGAAGATATTTCCTTTTTCACCTTAGCCCTGAAATCGCTCCAAAAGTCCAGTTCCAGATACTACAAAAGGGGTGTTTCAGGACTGCTCTATGAAAGGGAGTGTTCAACTTTTGACTTGAATGCAAACATCAGAAAGCAGTTTCTCAGAACGCTGCTGTGTGCTTTTTATATGTATTCCCGCTTCCAGCGAAATCCCCAAAGCTAGCCAAATATCCACTTGCAGATTCCAGAAAAAGAGAGTTTCAAAACTGCTCCTTCAAAACGGTGGTTCAATTCTCTTAGTTGAATACACACATCTCAAATAAGTTTCTGAGAATGCTTGTGTCTAGTTGTTATGGGAAGATATTTCCTTTTTCAACATAGGCCTGAAAGCGCTCCAAATGTCCACTTCCAGATACTACAAAAGGAGTGATTCCAACCTGCTCTATGATAGGGAATGTTCATCTCTGTGTCCTGAATACAAACATCACAAAGATGTTTCTCAGAACGCTGCAGTCTGCAATTTGTATGAATTCCCGCTTCCAACGAAATCCTCAAAACTAGCCAAATATCCACTTGGAGATTCCACAAAAAGAGCGTTTCAAAACTTCTCTATGAATAGAAAGGTTCTACTCCTTTAGTTGAGGACACACATCACGAGTAAGTTTCTGAGAATGCTTCTGTCTAGTTTTTATGGGAAGATATTTCCTTTTTCACCTTAGGCCGGAAAGCGCTCCAACTGTCCACTTACACACACTACAAAAAGAGTGTTTCAAACCTGCTCTGTGAAAGGGAATGTTCAATTCTGTGACTTGAATGCAATCACCACAAAGAACTTTCTGAGAATGCTGCAGTCTGCTTTTTATATGTAATCCCGTTTCCAACGAAATCCTCAAATCTAGCCAAATATCCACTTGCAGATTCCACAAAAAGAGTGTTTCAAAACTGTTCTGTCTAAAGAAAAGTTCAACTGTGTTAGTTGAGGACACACATCAGAAACTAGTTTCTGAGAATGCTTCTGTCTAGTTGTTATGGGAAGATATTTCCTTTTCCAACGTAGGCCTGAAAGCGCTCCAAATGTCCACTTCCAGATACTACAAAAAGAGTGTTTCAAACCTGCTCTACCAAAGGGAATGTTCTACTCTGTGACTTGAATGCAAACATCCCAAAGAAGTTTCTGAGAATGCTTCTGTCTAGATTTTATCTGAAGACAATCCCGTTTCCAACGAAATCTTCAAGGCTAGGCAAATATACTCTTGCAGATTCCAGAAAAAGAGTGTTTCAAATCTGCTCCTTCAAAACGGTGGTTCAATTCTCTTAGTTGAGTACACACATCTCAAATAAGTTTCTGAGAATGCTTCTGCCTAGTTGTTACGGGAAGATATTTCCCTTTCCAACATGGGCCTGAAAGCGCTCCAAATGTCCACTTCCAGATACTACAAAAAGAGGGTTTCAAACCTGCTCTACCAAAGGGAATGTTCTACTCTGTGACTTGAATGCAAACATCCCAAAGAAGTTTCTGAGAATGCTTCTGTCTAGATTTTACCTGAAGACAATCCCGTTTCCCACGAAATCCTCAAAGCTATGCAAATATCCTCTTGCAGATTCTACAAAAAGAGCGTTTCAAAACTTCTCTATGAAAAGAAAGGTTCTACTCATTTAGTGGAGGACACACATCACGAGTAAGTTTCTGAGAATGCTTGTGTCTAGTTGTTATGGGAAGATATTTCCTTTTTCAACATAGGCCTGAAAGCGCTCCAAATGTCCACTTCCAGATACTACAAAAGGAGTGATTCCAACCTGCTCTATGATAGGGAATGTTCAACTCTCTGTCCTGAATACAAACATCACAAAGATGTTTCTCAGAACGCTGCAGTCTGCAATTTGTATGAATTCCCGCTTCCAACGAAATCCTCAAAACTAGCCAAATATCCACTTGCAGATTCCACAAAAAGACCATTTCAAAACTGCTCTATCAAAAGAAAGGTTCAACTTTGTTAGTTGAGTAGATACAGCATAAACAAGTTTCTGAGAATGCTTCTGTCCAGTTTTTATGGGAAGATATTTCCTTTTTCACCT
Source organism: Homo sapiens (assembly GCF_000001405.40). Classification (NCBI taxonomy): domain Eukaryota; kingdom Metazoa; phylum Chordata; class Mammalia; order Primates; family Hominidae; genus Homo; species Homo sapiens. The sequence goes on along the minus strand of NC_000018.10, from coordinate 19,063,988 downwards.
TAGCCCTGAAATCGCTCCAAAAGTCCAGTTCCAGATACTACAAAAGGGGTGTTTCAAGACTGCTCTATGAAAGGGAGTGTTCAACTTTTGACTTGAATGCAAACATCAGAAAGCAGTTTCTCAGAACGCTGCTGTGTGCTTTTTATATGTATTCCCGCTTCCAGCGAAATCCCCAAAGCTAGCCAAATATCCACTTGCAGATTCCAGAAAAAGAGTGTTTCAAAACTGCTCCTTCAAAACGGTGGTTCAATTCTCTTAGTTGAGTACACACATCTCAAATAAGTTTCTGAGAATGCTTCTGTCTAGTTGTTATGGGAAGATATTTCCTTTTCCAACATAGGCCTGAAAGCGCTCCAAATGTCCACTTCCAGATACTACAAAAGGAGTGATTCAAACCTGCTCTATGATAGGGAATGTTCAACTCTGTGTCCTGAATACAAACATCACAAAGATGTTTCTCAGAACGCTGCAGTCTGCAATTTGTATGAATTCCCGCTTCCAACGAAATCCTCCAAACTAGCCAAATATCCACTTGCAGATTCCACAAAAAGAGCGTTTCAAAACTTCTCTATGAAAAGAAAGGTTCTACTCCTTTAGTTGAGGACACACATCACGAGTAAGTTTCTGAGAATGCTTCTGTCTAGTTTTTATGGGAAGATATTTCCTTTTTCACCTTAGGCCGGAAAGTGCTCCAAATGTCCACTTACACACACTACAAAAAGAGTGTTTCAAACCTGCTCTGTGAAAGGGAATGTTCAATTCTGTGACTTGAATGCAATCATCACAAAGAAGTTTCTGAGAATGCTGCTGTCTGCTTTTCATATGTAATCCCGTTTCCAACGAAATCCTCAAATCTAGCCAAATAGCCACTTGCAGATTCCACAAAAAGAGTGTTTCAAAACTGTTCTGTCTAAAGAAATGTTCAACTGTGTTAGTTGAGGACACACATCAGAAACTAGTTTCTGAGAATGCTTCTGTCTAGTTGTTATGGGAAGATATTTCCTTTTCCAACGTAGGCCTGAAAGCGCTCCAAATGTCCACTTCCATATACTAAAAAAAGAGTGTTTCAAACCTGCTCCACCAAAGGGAATGTTCTACTCTGTGACTTGAATGCAAACATCCCAAAGAAGTTTCTGAGAATGCTTCTGTCTAGATTTGATCTGAAGACAATCCCGTTTCCAACGAAATCCTCAAGGCTAGGCAAATATCCTCTTGCAGATTCCAGAAAAAGAGTGTTTCAAAACTGCTCCTTCAAAACGGTGGTTCAATTCTCTTAGTTGAGTACACACATCTCAAATAAGTTTCTGAGAATGCTTCTGCCTAGTTGTTACGGGAAGATATTTCCCTTTCCAACATAGGCCTGAAAGCGCTCCAAATGTCCACTTCCAGATACTACAAAAAGAGTGTTTCAAACCTGCTCTACCAAAGGGAATGTTCTGCTCTGTGACTTGAATGCAAACATCCCAAAGAAGTTTCTGAGAATGCTTCTGTCTAGATTTTACCTGAAGACAATCCCGTTTCCCACGAAATCCTCAAAGCTATGCAAATATCCTCTTGCAGATTCTACAAAAAGAGTGTTTCAAAACTGCTCTATGAAAAGAAAGGTTCAACTCTGTCAGTAGAGGGCACACATCACAAACAAGTTTCTGAGAATGCTTGTGTCTAGTTGTTATGGGAAGATATTTCCTTTATCAACATAGGCCTGAAAGCGCTCCAAATGTCCACTTCCAGATACTACAAAAGGAGTGATTCCAACCTGCTCTATGATAGGGAATGTTCATCTCTGTGTCCTGAATACAAACATCACAAAGATGTTTCTCAGAACGCTGCAGTCTGCAATTTGTATGAATTCCCGCTTCCAACGAAATCCTCAAAACTAGCCAAATATCCACTTGGAGATTCCACAAAAAGAGCGTTTCAAAACTTCTCTATGAATAGAAAGGTTCTACTCCTTTAGTTGAGGACACACATCACGAGTAAGTTTCTGAGAATGCTTCTGTCTAGTTTTTATGGGAAGATATTTCCTTTTTCACCTTAGGCCGGAAAGCGCTCCAAATGTCCACTTACACACACTACAAAAAGAGTGTTTCAAACCTGCTCTGTGAAAGGGAATGTTCAATTCTGTGACTTGAATGCAATCATCACAAAGAACTTTCTGAGAATGCTGCTGACTGCTTTTTATATGTAATCCCGTTTCCAACGAAATCCTCAAATCTAGCCAAATAGCCACTTGCAGATTCCACAAAAAGAGTGTTTCAAAACTGTTCTGTCTAAAGAAATGTTCAACTGTGTTAGTTGAGGACACACATCAGAAACGAGTTTCTGAGAATGCTTCTGTCTAGTTGTTATGGGAAGATATTTCCTTTTCCAACGTAGGCCTGAAAGCGCTCCAAATGTCCACTTCCATATACTAAAAAAAGAGTGTTTCAAACCTGCTCTACCAAAGGGAATGTTCTACTCTGTGACATGAATGCTAACATCCCAAAGAAGTTTCTGAGAATGCTTCTGTCTAGATTTGATCTGAAGACAATCCCGTTTCCAACGAAATCCTCAAGGCTAGGCAAATATCCTCTTGCAGATTCCAGAAAAAGAGTGTTTCAAAACTGCTCCTTCAAAACGGTGGTTCAATTCTCTTAGTTGAGTACACACATCTCAAATAAGTTTCTGAGAATGCTTCTGCCTAGTTGTTACGGGAAGATATTTCCCTTTCCAACATAGGCCTGAAAGCGCTCCAAATGTCCACTTCCAGATACTACAAAAAGAGTGTTTCAAACCTGCTCTACCAAAGGGAATGTTCTGCTCTGTGACTTGAATGCAAACATCCCAAAGAAGTTTCTGAGAATGCTTCTGTCTAGATTTTACCTGAAGACAATCCCGTTTCCCACGAAATCCTCAAAGCTATGCAAATATCCTCTTGCAGATTCTACAAAAAGAGTGTTTCAAAACTGCTCTATGAAAAGAAAGGTTCAACTCTGTCAGTAGAGGGCACACATCACAAACAAGTTTCTGAGAATGCTTGTGTCTAGTTGTTATGGGAAGATATTTCCTTTTTCAACATAGGCCTGAAAGCGCTCCAAATGTCCACTTCCAGATACTACAAAAGGAGTGATTCCAACCTGCTCTATGATAGGGAATGTTCAACTCTCTGTCCTGAATACAAACATCACAAAGATGTTTCTCAGAACGCTGCAGTCTGCAATTTGTATGAATTCCCGCTTCCAACGAAATCCTCAAAACTAGCCAAATATCCACTTGCAGATTCCACAAAAAGAGCATTTCAAAACTGCTCTATCAAAAGAAAGGTTCAACTTTGTTAGTTGAGTAGATACAGCATAAACAAGTTTCTGAGAATGCTTCTGTCCAGTTTTTATGGGAAGATATTTCCTTTTTCACCTTAGCCCTGAAAGCTCTCCAAAAGTCCAGTTCCAGATACTACAAAAGGGGTGTTTCAGGACTGCTCTATGAAAGGGAGTGTTCAACTTTTGACTTGAATGCAAACATCAGAAAGCAGTTTCTCAGAACGCTGCTGTGTGCTTTTTATATGTATTCCGGCCTCCAGCGAAATCCCCAAAGCTAGCCAAATATCCACTTGCAGATTCCAGAAAAAGAGTGTTTCAAAACTGCTCCTTCAAAACGGTGGTTCAATTCTCTTAGTTGAGTACACACATCTCAAATAAGTTTCTGAGAATGCTTCTGTCTAGTTGTTATGAGAAGATATTTCCTTTTCCAACATAGGCCTGAAAGCGCTCCAAATGTCCACTTCCAGATACTACAAAAGGAGTGATTCAAACCTGCTCTATGATAGGGAATGTTCAACTCTGTGTCCTGAATACAAACATCACAAAGATGTTTCTCAGAACGCTGCAGTCTGCAATTTGTATGAATTCCCGCTTCCAACGAAATCCTCCAAACTAGCCAAATATCCACTTGCAGATTCCACAAAAAGAGCGTTTCAAAACTTCTCTATGAAAAGAAAGGTTCTAATCCTTTAGTTGAGGACACACATCACGAGTAAGTTTCTGAGAATGCTTCTGTCTAGTTTTTATGGGAAGATATTTCCTTTTTCACCTTAGGCCGGAAAGTGCTCCAAATGTCCACTTACACACACTACAAAAAGAGTGTTTCAAACCTGCTCTGTGAAAGGGAATGTTCAATTCTGTGACTTGAATGCAATCATCACAAGGAACTTTCTGAGAATGCTGCTGTCTGCTTTTTATATGTAATCCCGTTTCCAACGAAATCCTCAAATCTAGCCAAATATCCACTTGCAGATTCCACAAAAAGAGTGTTTCAAAACTGTTCTGTCTAAAGAAATGTTCAACTGTGTTAGTTGAGGACACACATCAGAAACTAGTTTCTGAGAATGCTTCTGTCTAGTTGTTATGGGAAGATATTTCCTTTTCCAACGTAGGCCTGAAAGCGCTCCAAATGTCCACTTCCATATACTAAAAAAAGAGTGTTTCAAACCTGCTCTACCAAAGGGAATGTTCTACTCTGTGACTTGAATGCAAACATCCCAAAGAAGTTTCTGAGAATGCTTCTGTCTAGATTTTCTCTGAAGACAATCCCGTTTCCAACGAAATCCTCAAGGCTAGGCAAATATACTCTTGCAGATTCCAGAAAAAGAGTGTTTCAAAACTGCTCCTTCAAAACGGTGGTTCAATTCTCTTAGTTGAGTACACACATCTCAAATAAGTTTCTGAGAATGCTTCTGCCTAGTTGTTACGGGAAGATATTTCCCTTTCCAACATAGGCCTGAAAGCGCTCCAAATGTCCACTTCCAGATACTACAAAAAGAGTGTTTCAAACCTGCTCTACCAAAGGGAATGTTCTACTCTGTGACTTGAATGCAAACATCCCAAAGAAGTTTACTGAGAATGCTTCTGTCTAGATTTTACCTGAAGACAATCCCGTTTCCCACGAAATCCTCAAAGCTATGCAAATATCCTCTTGCAGATTCTACAAAAAGAGCGTTTCAAAACTTCTCTATGAAAAGAAAGGTTCTACTCATTTAGTGGAGGACACACATCACGAGTAAGTTTCTGAGAATGCTTCTGTCTAGTTTTTATGGGAAGATATTTCCTTTTTCACCTTAGGCCGGAAAGTGCTCCAAATGTCCAATTACACACACTAAAAAAGAGTATTTCAAACCTGCTCTGTGAAAGGGAATGTTCAATTCTGTGACTTGAATGCAATCATCACAAAGAACTTTCTGAGAATGCTGCTGACTGCTTTTTATATGTAATCCCGTTTCCAACGAAATCCTCAAATCTAGCCAAATAGCCACTTGCAGATTCCACAAAAAGAGTGTTTCAAAACTGTTCTGTCTAAAGAAATGTGCAACTGTGTTAGTTGAGGACACACATCAGAAACTAGTTTCTGAGAATGCTTCTGTCTAGTTGTTATGGGAAGATATTTCCTTTTCCAACGTAGGCCTGAATGCGCTCCAAATGTCCACTTCCATATACTAAAAAAAGAGTGTTTCAAACCTGCTCTACCAAAGGGAATGTTCTACTCTGTGACTTGAATGCAAACATCCCAAGGAAGTTTCTGAGAATGCTTCTGTATAGATTTGATCTGAAGACAATCCCGTTTCCAACGAAATCCTCAAGGCTAGGCAAATATCCTCTTGCAGATTCCAGAAAAAGAGTGTTTCAAAACTGCTCCTTCAAAACGGTGGTTCAATTCTCTTAGTTGAATACACACATCTCAAATAAGTTTCTGAGAATGCTTCTGCCTAGTTGTTACGGGAAGATATTTCCCTTTCCAACATAGGCCTGAAAGCGCTCCAAATGTCCACTTCCAGATACTACAAAAAGAGTGTTTCAAACCTACTCTACCAAAGGGAATGTTCTACTCTGTGACTTGAATGCAAACATCCCAAAGAAGTTTCTGAGAATGCTTCTGTCTAGATTTTACCTGAACACAATCACGTTTCCCACGAAATCCTCAAAGCTATGCAAATATCCTCTTGCAGATTCTACAAAAAGAGTGTTTCAAAACTGCTCTATGAAAAGAAAGGTTCAACTCTGTCAGTAGAGGGCACACATCACAAACAAGTTTCTGAGAATGCTTCTGCATAGTTGTTACGGGAAGATATTTCCCTTTCCAAAATAGGCCTGAAAGCGCTCCAAATGTCCACTTCCAGATACTACAAAAGGAGTGATTCCAACCTGCTCTATGATAGGGAATGTTCAACTCTGTGTCCTGAATACAAACATCACAAAGATGTTTCTCAGAACGCTGCAGTCTGCAATTTGTATGAATTCCCGCTTCCAACGAAATCCTCAAAACTAGCCAAATATCCACTTGCAGATTCCACAAAAAGAGCATTTCAAAACTGCTCTATCAAAAGAAAGGTTCAACTTTGTTAGTTGAGTAGATACAGCATAAACAAGTTTCTGAGAATGCTTCTGTCCAGTTTTTATGGGAAGATATTTCCTTTTTCACCTTAGCCCTGAAAGCGCTCCAAAAGTCCAGTTCCAGATACTACAAAAGGAGTGTTTCAGGACTGCACTATGAAAGGGAGTGTTCAACTTTTGACTTGAATGCAAACATCAGAAAGCAGTTTCTCAGAACGCTGCTGTGTGCTTTTTATATGTATTCCCGCTTCCAGCGAAATCCCCAAAGCTAGCCAAATATCCACTTGCAGATTCCAGAAAAAGAGTGTTTCAAAACTGCTCCTTCAAAACAGTGGTTCAATTCTCTTAGTTGAGTACACACATCTCAAATAAGTTTCTGAGAATGCTTCTGTCTAGTTGTTATGGGAAGATATTTCCTTTTCCAACATAGGCCTGAAAGCGCTCCAAATGTCCACTTCCAGATACTACAAAAGGAGTGATTCAAACCTGCTCTATGATAGGGAATGTTCAACTCTGTGTCCTGAATACAAACATCACAAAGATGTTTCTCAGAACGCTGCAGTCTGCAATTTGTATGAATTCCCGCTTCCAACGAAATCCTCAAAACTAGCCAAATATCCACTTGCAGATTCCACAAAAAGAGCGTTTCAAAACTTCTCTATGAAAAGAAAGGTTCTACTCCTTTAGTTGAGGACACACAATACGAGTAAGTTTCTGAGAATGCTTCTGTCCAGTTTTTATGGGAAGATATTTCCTTTTTCACCTTAGCCCTGAAAGCGCTCCAAAAGTCCAGTTCCAGATACTACAAAAGGAGTGTTTCAGGACTGCTCTATGAAAGGGAGTGTTCAACTTTTGACTTGAATGCAAACATCAGAAAGCAGTTTCTCAGAACGCTGCTGTGTGCTTTTTATATGTATTCCCGCTTCCAGCGAAATCCCCAAAGCTAGCCAAATATCCACTTGCAGATTCCAGAAAAAGAGTGTTTCAAAACTGCTCCTTCAAAACGGTGGTTCAATTCTCTTAGTTGAGTACACACATCTCAAATAAGTTTCTGAGAATGCTTCTGTCTAGTTGTTATGGGAAGATATTTCGTTTTCCAACATAGGCCTGAAAGCGCTCCAAATGTCCACTTCCAGATACTACAAAAGGAGTGATTCCAACCTGCTCTATGATAGGGAATGTTCAACTCTGTGTCCTGAATACAAACATCACAAAGATGTTTCTCAGAACGCTGCAGTCTGCAATTTGTATGAATTCCCGCTTCCAACGAAATCCTCAAAACTAGCCAAATATCCACTTGCAGATTCCACAAAAAGAGCATTTCAAAACTGCTCTATCAAAAGAAAGGTTCAACTTTGTTAGTTGAGTAGATACAGCATAAACAAGTTTCTGAGAATGCTTCTGTCCAGTTTTTATGGGAAGATATTTCCTTTTTCACCTTAGCCCTGAAAGCGCTCCAAAAGTCCAGTTCCAGATACTACAAAAGGAGTGTTTCAGGACTGCTCTATGAAAGGGAGTGTTCAACTTTTGACTTGAATGCAAACATCAGAAAGCAGTTTCTCAGAACGCTGCTGTGTGCTTTTTATATGTATTCCCGCTTCCAGCGAAATCCCCAAAGCTAGCCAAATATCCACTTGCAGATTCCAGAAAAAGAGTGTTTCAAAACTGCTCCTTCAAAACGGTGGTTCAATTCTCTTAGTTGAGTACACACATCTCAAATAAGTTTCTGAGAATGCTTCTGTCTAGTTGTTTATGGGAAGATATTTCCTTTTCCAACATAGGCCTGAAAGCGCTCCAAATGTCCACTTCCAGATACTACAAAAGGAGTGATTCCAACCTGCTCTATGATAGGGAATGTTCAACTCTGTGTCCTGAATACAAACATCACAAAGATGTTTCTCAGAACGCTGCAGTCTGCAATTTGTATGAATTCCCGCTTCCAACGAAATCCTCAAAACTAGCCAAATATCCACTTGGAGATTCCACAAAAAGAGCATTTCAAAACTTCTCTACGAATAGAAAGGTTCTACTCCTTTAGTTGAGGACACACATCACGAGTAAGTTTCTGAGAATGCTTCTGTCTAGTTTTTATGGGAAGATATTTCCTTTTTCACCTTAGGCCGGTAAGTGCTCCAAATGTCCACTTACACACACTACAAAAAGAGTGTTTCAAACCTGCTCTGTGAAAGGGAATGTTCAATTCTGTGACTTGAATGCAATCATCACAAAGAACTTTCTGAGAATGCTGCTGTCTGCTTTTTATATGTAATCCCGTTTCCAACGAAATCCTCAACTCTAGCCAAATATCCACTTGCAGAATCCACAAAAAGAGTGTTTCAAAACTGTTCTGTCAAAAGAAATGTTCAACTGTGTTAGTTGAGGACACACATCAGAAACTAGTTTCTGAGAATGCTTCTGTCTAGTTGTTATGGGAAGATATTTCCTTTTCCAACGTAGGCCTGAAAGCGCTCCAAATGTCCACTTCCATATACTAAAAAAAGAGTGTTTCAAACCTGCTCTACCAAAGGGAATGTTCTACTCTGTGACTTGAATGCAAACATCCCAAAGAAGTTTCTGAGAATGCTTCTGTCTAGATTTTATCTGAAGACAATCCCGTTTCCAACGAAATCCTCAAAGCTATGCAAATATTCTCTTGCAGATTCCAGAAAAAGAGTGTTTCAAAACTACTCCTTCAAAAGGATGGTTCAATTCTCTTAGTTGAGTACACACATCTCAAATAAGTTTCTGAGAATGCTTCTGCCTAATTGTTACAGGAAGAAATTTCCCTTTCCAACATAGGCCTGAAAGCGCTCCAAATGTCCACTTCCAGATACTACAAAAAGAGTGTTTCAAACCTGCTCTACCGAAGGGAATGTTCTACTCTGTGACTTGAATGCAAACATCCCGAAGAAGTTCCTGAGAATGCTTCTGTCTAGATTTTACCTGAAGACAATCCCGTTTCCCACGAAATCCTCAAAGCTATGCAAATATCCTCTTGCAGATTCTACAAAAAGAGCGTTTCAAAACTTCTCTATGAAAAGAAAGGTTCTACTCATTTAGTGGAGGACACACATCACGAGTAAGTTTCTGAGAATGCTTCTGTCTAGTTTTTATGGGAAGATATTTCCTTTTTCACCTTAGGCCGGAAAGTGCTCCAAATGTCCAATTACACACACTAAAAAAGAGTATTTCAAACCTGCTCTGTGAAAGGGAATGTTCAATTCTGTGACTTGAATGCAATCATCACAAAGAACTTTCTGAGAATGCTGCTGACTGCTTTTTATATGTAATCCCGTTTCCAACGAAATCCTCAAATCTAGCCAAATAGCCACTTGCAGATTCCACAAAAAGAGTGTTTCAAAACTGTTCTGTCTAAAGAAATGTGCAACTGTGTTAGTTGAGGACACACATCAGAAACTAGTTTCTGAGAATGCTTCTGTCTAGTTGTTATGGGAAGATATTTCCTTTTCCAACGTAGGCCTGAATGCGCTCCAAATGTCCACTTCCATATACTAAAAAAAGAGTGTTTCAAACCTGCTCTACCAAAGGGAATGTTCTACTCTGTGACTTGAATGCAAACATCCCAAAGAAGTTTCTGAGAATGCTTCTGTATAGATTTGATCTGAAGACAATCTCGTTTCCAACGAAATCCTCAAGGCTAGGCAAATATCCTCTTTCAGATTCCAGAAAAAGAGTGTTTCAAAACTGCTCCTTCAAAACGGTGGTTCAACTCTCTTAGTTGAATACACACATCTCAAATAAGTTTCTGAGAATGCTTCTGCCTAGTTGTTACGGGAAGATATTTCCCTTTCCAACATAGGCCTGAAAGCGCTCCAAATGTCCACTTCCAGATACTACAAAAAGAGTGTTTCAAACCTACTCTACCAAAGGGAATGTTCTACTCTGTGACTTGAATGCAAACATCCCAAAGAAGTTTCTGAGAATGCTTCTGTCTAGATTTTACCTGAAGACTATCCCGTTTCCCACGTAATCCTCAAAGCTATGCAAATATCCTCTTGCAGATTCTACAAAAAGAGTGTTTCAAAACTGCTCTATGAAAAGAAAGGTTCAACTCTGTCACTAGAGGGCACACATCACAAACAAGTTTCTGAGAATGCTTGTGTCTAGTTGTTATGGGAAGATATTTCCTTTTTCAACATAGGCCTGAAAGCGCTCCAAATGTCCACTTCCAGATACTACAAAAGGAGTGATTCCAACCTGCTCTATGATAGGGAATGTTCAACTCTCTGTCCTGAATACAAACATCACAAAGATGTTTCTCAGAACGCTGCAGTCTGCAATTTGTATGAATTCCCGCTTCCAACGAAATCCTCAAAACTAGCCAAATATCCACTTGCAGATTCCACAAAAAGACCATTTCAAAACTGCTCTATCAAAAGAAAGGTTCAACTTTGTTAGTTGAGTAGATACAGCATAAACAAGTTTCTGAGAATGCTTCTGTCCAGTTTTTATGGGAAGATATTTCGTTTTTCACCTTAGCCCTAAAATCGCTCCAAAAGTCCAGTTCCAGATACTACAAAAGGGGTGTTTCAAGACTGCTCTATGAAAGGGAGTGTTCAACTTTTGACTTGAATGCAAACATCAGAAAGCAGTTTCTCAGAACGCTGCTGTGTGCTTTTTATATGTATTCCCGCTTCCAGCGAAATCCCCAAAGCTAGCCAAATATCCACTTGCAGATTCCAGAAAAAGAGTGTTTCAAAACTGCTCCTTCAAAACGGTGGTTCAATTCTCTTAGTTGAGTACACACATCTCAAATAAGTTTCTGAGAATGCTTCTGTCTAGTTGTTATGGGAAGATATTTCCTTTTCCAACATAGGCCTGAAAGCGCTCCAAATGTCCACTTCCAGATACTACAAAAGGAGTGATTCAAACCTGCTCTATGATAGGGAATGTTCAACTCTGTGTCCTGAATACAAACATCACAAAGATGTTTCTCAGAACGCTGCAGTCTGCAATTTGTATGAATTCCCGCTTCCAACGAAATCCTCCAAACTAGCCAAATATCCACTTGCAGATTCCACAAAAAGAGCGTTTCAAAACTTCTCTATGAAAACAAAGGTTCTACTCCTTTAGTTGAGGACACACATCACGAGTAAGTTTCTGAGAATGCTTCTGTCTAGTTTGTATGGGAAGATATTTCCTTTTTCACCTTAGGCCGGAAAGTGCTCCAAATGTCCACTTACACACACTACAAAAAGAGTGTTTCAAACCTGCTCTGTGAAAGGGAATGTTCAATTCTGTGACTTGAATGCAATCATCACAAAGAACTTTCTGAGAATGCTGCTGTCTGCTTTTTATATGTAATCCCGTTTCCAACGAAATCCTCAAATCTAGCCAAATAGCCACTTGCAGATTCCACAAAAAGAGTGTTTCAAAACTGTTCTGTCTAAAGAAAAGTTCAACTGTGTTAGTTGAGGACACACATCAGAAACTAGTTTCTGAGAATGCTTCTGTCTAGTTGTTATGGGAAGATATTTCCTTTTCCAACGTAGGCCTGAAAGCGCTCCAAATGTCCACTTCCATATACTAAAAAAAGAGTGTTTCAAACCTGCTCTACCAAAGGGAATGTTCTACTCTGTGACTTGAATGCAAACATCCCAAAGAAGTTTCTGAGAATGCTTCTGTCTAGATTTTATCTGAAGACAATCCCGTTTCCAACGAAATCTTCAAGGCTAGGCAAATATACTCTTGCAGATTCCAGAAAAAGAGTGTTTCAAAACTGCTCCTTCAAAACGGTGGTTCAGTTCTCTCAGTTGAGTACACACATCTCAAATAAGTTTCTGAGAATGCTTCTGCCTAGTTGTTACGGGAAGATATTTCCCTTTCCAACATGGGCCTGAAAGCGCTCCAAATGTCCACTTCCAGATACTACAAAAAGAGGGTTTCAAACCTGCTCTACCAAAGGGAATGTTCTACTCTGTGACTTGAATGCAAACATCCCAAAGAAGTTTCTGAGAATGCTTCTGTCTAGATTTTACCTGAAGACAATCCCGTTTCCCACGAAATCCTCAAAGCTATGCAAATATCCTCTTGCAGATTCTACAAAAAGAGTGTTTCAAAACTGCTCTATGAAAAGAAAGGTTCAACTCTGTCAGCAGAGGGCACACATCACAAACAAGTTTCTGAGAATGCTTGTGTCTAGTTGTTATGGGAAGATATTTCCTTTTTCAACATAGGCCTGAAAGCGCTCCAAATGTCCACTTCCAGATACTACGAAAGGAGTGATTCCAACCTGCTCTATGATAGGGAATGTTCATCTCTGTGTCCTGAATACAAACATCACAAAGATGTTTTTCAGAACGCTGCAGTCTGCAATTTGTATGAATTCCCGCATCCAACGAAATCCTCAAAACTAGCCAAATATCCACTTGGAGATTCCACAAAAAGAGCGTTTCAAACCTTCTCTATGAATAGAAAGGTTCTACTCCTTTAGTTGAGGACACACATCACGAGTAAGTTTCTGAGAATGCTTCTGTCTAGTTTTTATGGGAAGATATTTCCTTTTTCACCTTAGGCCGGAAAGTGCTCCAAATGTCCACTTACACACACTACAAAAAGAGTGTTTCAAACCTGCTCTGTGAAAGGGAATGTTCAATTCTGTGACTTGAATGCAATCATCACAAAGATCTTTCTGAGAATGCTGCTGACTGCTTTTTATATGTAATCCCGTTTCCACCGAAATCCTCAAATCTAGCCAAATATCCACTTGCAGATTCCACAAAAAGAGTGTTTCAAAACTGTTCTGTCTAAAGAAAAGTTCAACTGTGTTAGTTGAGGACACACATCAGAAACTAGTTTCTGAGAATGCTTCTGTCTAGTTGTTATGGGAAGATATTTCCTTTTCCAACGTAGGCCTGAAAGCGCTCCAAATGTCCACTTCCATATACTAAAAAAAGAGTGTTTCAAAACTGCTCTACCAAAGGGAATGTTCTACTCTGTGACTTGAATGCAAACATCCCAAAGAAGTTTCTGAGAATGCTTCTGTCTAGATTTGATCTGAAGACAATCCCGTTTCCAACGAAATTCTCAAGGCTAGGCAAATATACTCTTGCAGATTCCAGAGAAAGAGTGTTTCAAAACTGCTCCTTCAAAACGGTGGTTCAATTCTCTTAGTTGAGTACACACATCTCAAATAAGTTTCTGAGAATGCTTCTGCCTAGTTGTTACGGGAAGATATTTCCCTTTCCAACATGGGCCTGAAAGCGCTCCAAATGTCCACTTCCAGATACTACAAAAAGAGCGTTTCAAACCTGCTCTACCAAAGGGAATGTTCTACTCTGTGACTTGAATGCAAACATCCCAAAGAAGTTTCTGAGAATGCTTCTGTCTAGATTTTACCTGAAGACAATCCCGTTTCCCACGAAATCCTCAAAGCTATGCAAATATCCTCTTGCAGATTCTACAAAAAGAGTGTTTCAAAACTGCTCTATGAAAAGAAAGGTTCAACTCTGTCAGTAGAGGGCACACATCACAAACAAGTTTCTGAGAATGCTTGTGTCTAGTTGTTATGGGAAGATATTTCCTTTTTCAACATAGGCCTGAAAGCGCTCCAAATGTCCACTTCCAGATACTACAAAAGGAGTGATTCCAACCTGCTCTATGATAGGGAATGTTCAACTCTGTGTCCTGAATACAAACATCACAAAGATGTTTCTCAGAACGCTGCAGTCTGCAATTTGTATGAATTCCCGCTTCCAACGAAATCCTCAAAACTAGCCAAATATCCACTTGCAGATTCCACAAAAAGACCATTTCAAAACTGCTCTATCAAAAGAAAGGTTCAACTTTGTTAGTTGAGTAGATACAGCATAAACAAGTTTCTGAGAATGCTTCTGTCCAGTTTTTATGGGAAGATATTTCCTTTTTCACCTTAGCCCTGAAATCGCTCCAAAAGTCCAGTTCCAGATACTACAAAAGGGGTGTTTCAAGACTGCTCTATGAAAGGGAGTGTTCAACTTTTGACTTGAATGCAAACATCAGAAAGCAGTTTCTCAGAACGCTGCTGTGTGCTTTTTATATGTATTCCCGCTTCCAGCGAAATCCCCAAAGCTAGCCAAATATCCACTTGCAGATTCCAGAAAAAGAGTGTTTCAAAACTGCTCCTTCAAAACGGTGGTTCAATTCTCTTAGTTGAGTACACACATCTCAAATAAGTTTCTGAGAATGCTTCTGTCTAGTTGTTATGGGAAGATATTTCCTTTTCCAACATAGGCCTGAAAGCGCTCCAAATGTCCACTTCCAGATACTACAAAAGGAGTGATTCAAACCTGCTCTATGATAGGGAATGTTCAACTCTGTGTCCTGAATACAAACATCACAAAGATGTTTCTCAGAACGCTGCAGTCTGCAATTTGTATGAATTCCCGCTTCCAACGAAATCCTCAAAACTAGCCAAATATCCACTTGCAGATTCCACAAAAAGACCATTTCAAAACTGCTCTATCAAAAGAAAGGTTCAACTTTGTTAGTTGAGTAGATACAGCATAAACAAGTTTCTGAGAATGCTTCTGTCCAGTTTTTATGGGAAGATATTTCCTTTTTCACCTTAGCCCTGAAATCGCTCCAAAAGTCCAGTTCCAGATACTACAAAAGGGGTGTTTCAAGACTGCTCTATGAAAGGGAGTGTTCAACTTTTGACTTGAATGCAAACATCAGAAAGCAGTTTCTCAGAACGCTGCTGTGTGCTTTTTATATGTATTCCCGCTTCCAGCGAAATCCCCAAAGCTAGCCAAATATCCACTTGCAGATTCCAGAAAAAGAGAGTTTCAAAACTGCTCCTTCAAAACGGTGGTTCAATTCTCTTAGTTGAGTACACACATCTCAAATAAGTTTCTGAGAATGCTTCTGTCTAGTTGTTATGGGAAGATATTTCCTTTTCCAACATAGGCCTGAAAGCGCTCCAAATGTCCACTTCCAGATACTACAAAAGGAGTGATTCCAACCTGCTCTATGATAGGGAATGTTCAACTCTGTGTCCTGAATACAAACATCACAAAGATGTTTCTCAGAACGCTGCAGTCTGCAATTTGTATGAATTCCCGCTTCCAACGAAATCCTCAAAACTAGCCAAATATCCACTTGCAGATTCCACAAAAAGAGCGTTTCAAAACTTCTCTATGAAAAGAAAGGTTCTACTCCTTTAGTTGAGGACACACATCACGAGTAAGTTTCTGAGAATGCTTCTGTCTAGTTTTTATGGGAAGATTATTTCCTTTTTCACCTTAGGCCGGTAAGTGCTCCAAATGTCCACTTACACACACTACAAAAAGAGTGTTTCAAACCTGCTCTGTGAAAGGGAATGTTCAATTCTGTGACTTGAATGCAATCATCACAAAGAACTTTCTGAGAATGCCGCTGACTGCTTTTTATATGTAATCCCGTTTCCAACGAAATCCTCAAATCTAGCCAAATAGCCACTTGCAGATTCCACAAAAAGAGTGTTTCAAAACTGTTCTGTCTAAAGAAATGTTCAACTGTGTTAGTTGAGGACACACATCAGAAACTAGTTTCTGAGAATGCTTCTGTCTAGTTGTTATGGGAAGATATTTCCTTTTCCAACGTAGGCCTGAAAGTGCTCCAAATGTCCACTTCCATATACTAAAAAAAGAGTGTTTCAAACCTGCTCTACCAAAGGGAATGTTCTACTCTGTGACTTGAATGCAAACATCCCAAAGAAGTTTCTGAGAACGCTTCTGTCTAGATTTGAGCTGAAGTACAATCCCGTTTCCAACGAAATCCTCAAAGCTAGGCAAATATACTCTAGCAGATTCCAGAAAAAGAGTGTTTCACAACTGCTCCTTCAAAACGGTGGTTCAATTCTCTTAGTTGAGTACACACATCTCAAATAAGTTTCTGAGAATGCTTCTGCCTAGTTGTTACAGGAAGATATTTCCTTTTCCAACATGGGCCTGAAAGCGCTCCAAATGTCCACTTCCAGATACTACAAAAAGAGTGTTTCAAACCTGCTCTACCAAAGGGAATGTTCTACTCTGTGACTTGAATGCAAACATCCCAAAGAAGTTTCTGAGAATGCTTCTGTCTAGATTTTACCTGAAGACAATCCCGTTTCCCACGAAATCCTCAAAGCTATGCAAATATCCTCTTGCAGATTCTACAAAAAGAGTGTTTCAAAACTGCTCTATGAAAAGAAAGGTTCAACTCTGTCAGTAGAGGGCACACATCACAAACAAGTTTCTGAGAATGCTTCTGCATAGTTGTTACGGGAAGATATTTCCCTTTCCAAAATAGGCCTGAAAGCGCTCCAAATGTCCACTTCCAGATACTACAAAAGGAGTGATTCCAACCTGCTCTATGATAGGGAATGTTCAACTCTGTGTCCTGAATACAAACATCACAAAGATGTTTCTCAGAACGCTGCAGTGTGCAATTTGTATGAATTCCCGCTTCCAACGAAATCCTCAAAACTAGCCAAATATCCACTTGCAGATTCCACAAAAAGAGCATTACAAAACTGCTCTATCAAAAGAAAGCTTCAAATTTGTTAGTTGAGTAGATACAGCATAAACAAGTTTCTCAGAATGCTTCTGTCCAGTTTTTATGGGAAGATATTTCCTTTTTCACCTTAGCCCTGAAAGCGCCCGAAATGTCCAGTTCCAGATACTACAAAAGGGGTGTTTCAAGACTGCTCTATGAAAGGGAGTGTTCAACTTTTGACTTGAATGCAAACATCAGAAAGCAGTTTCTCAGAACGCTGCTGTGTGCTTTTTATATGTATTCCCGCTTCCAGCGAAATCCCCAAAGCTAGCCAAATATCCACTTGCAGATTCCAGAAAAAGAGTGTTTCAAAACTGCTCCTTCAAAACGGTGGTTCAATTCTCTTAGTTGAGTACACACATCTCAAATAAGTTTCTGAGAATGCTTCTGTCTATTTGTTATGGGAAGATATTTCCTTTTCCAACATAGGCCTGAAAGCGCTCCAAATGTCCACTTCCAGATACTAGAAAAGGAGTGATTCAAACCTGCTCTATGATAGGGAATGTTCAACTCTGTGTCCTGAATACAAACATCACAAAGATGTTTCTCAGAACGCTGCAGTCTGCAATTTGTATGAATTCCCGCTTCCAACGAAATCCTCCAAACTAGCCAAATATCCACTTGCAGATTCCACAAAAAGAGCGTTTCAAAACTTCTCTATGAAAAGAAAGGTTCTACTCCTTTAGTTGAGGACACACATCACGAGTAAGTTTCTGAGAGTGCTTCTGTCTAGTTTTTATGGGAAGATATTTCCTTTTTCACCTTAGGCCGGAAAGTGCTCCAAATGTCCACTTACACACACTACAAAAAGAGTGTTTCAAACCTGCTCTGTGAAAGGGAATGTTCAATTCTGTGACTTGAATGCAATCATCACAAAGAACTTTCTGAGAATGCTGCTGTCTGCTTTTTATATGTAATCCCGTTTCCAACGAAATCCTCAAATCTAGCCAAATAGCCACTTGCAGATTCCACAAAAAGAGTGTTTCAAAACTGTTCTGTCTAAAGAAATGTTCAACTGTGTTAGTTGAGGACACACATCAGAAACTAGTTTCTGAGAATGCTTCTGTCTAGTTGTTATGGGAAGATATTTCCTTTTCCAACGTAGGCCTGAAAGCGCTCCAAATGTCCACTTCCATATACTAAAAAAAGAGTGTTTCAAACCTGCTCTACCAAAGGGAATGTTCTACTCTGTGACTTGAATGCAAACATCCCAAAGAAGTTTCTGAGAATGCTTCTGTCTAGATTTGATCTGAAGACAATCCCGTTTCCAACGAAATCCTCAAGGCTAGGCAAATATCCTCTTGCAGATTCCAGAAAAAGAGTGTTTCAAAACTGCTCCTTCAAAACGGTGGTTCAATTCTCTTAGTTGAGTACACACATCTCAAATAAGTTTCTGAGAATGCTTCTGCCTAGTTGTTACGGGAAGATATTTCCCTTTCCAACATAGGCCTGAAAGCGCTCCAAATGTCCACTTCCAGATACTACAAAAAGAGTGTTTCAAACCTGCTCTACCAAAGGGAATGTTCTACTCTGTGACTTGAATGCAAACATCCCAAAGAAGTTTCTGAGAATGCTTCTGTCTAGATTTTACCTGAAGACAATCCCGTTTCCCACGAAATCCTCAAAGCTATGCAAATATCCTCTTGCAGATTCTACAAAAAGAGTGTTTCAAAACTGCTCTATGAAAAGAAAGGTTCAACTCTGTCAGTAGAGGGCACACATCACAAACAAGTTTCTGAGAATGCTTGTGTCTAGTTGTTATGGGAAGATATTTCCTTTTTCAACATAGGCCTGAAAGCGCTCCAAATGTCCACTTCCAGATACTACAAAAGGAGTGATTCCAACCTGCTCTATGATAGGGAATGTTCAACTCTCTGTCCTGAATACAAACATCACAAAGATGTTTCTCAGAACGCTGCAGTCTGCAATTTGTATGAATTCCCGCTTCCAACGAAATCCTCAAAACTAGCCAAATATCCACTTGCAGATTCCACAAAAAGAGCATTTCAAAACTGCTCTATCAAAAGAAAGGTTCAACTTTGTTAGTTGAGTAGATACAGCATAAACAAGTTTCTGAGAATGCTTCTGTCCAGTTTTTATGGGAAGATATTTCCTTTTTCACCTTAGCCCTGAAATCGCTCCAAAAGTCCAGTTCCAGATACTACAAAAGGGGTGTTTCAGGACTGCTCTATGAAAGGGAGTGTTCAACTTTTGACTTGAATGCAAACATCAGAAAGCAGTTTCTCAGAACGCTGCTGTGTGCTTTTTATATGTATTCCCGCTTCCAGCGAAATCCCCAAAGCCAGCCAAATATCCACTTGCAGATTCCAGAAAAAGAGTGTTTCAAAACTGCTCCTTCAAAACGGTGGTTCAATTCTCTTAGTTGAGTACACACATCTCAAATAAGTTTCTGAGAATGCTTCTGTCTAGTTGTTATGGGAAGATATTTCCTTTTCCAACATAGGCCTGAAAGCGCTCCAAATGTCCACTTCCAGATACTACAAAAGGAGTGATTCAAACCTGCTCTATGATAGGGAATGTTCAACTCTGTGTCCTGAATACAAACATCACAAAGATGTTTCTCAGAACGCTGCAGTCTGCAATTTGTATGAATTCCCGCTTCCAACGAAATCCTCAAAACTAGCCAAATATCCACTTGCAGATTCCACAAAAAGAGCGTTTCAAAACTTCTCTATGAAAAGAAAGGTTCTACTCCTTTAGTTGAGGACACACATCACGAGTAAGTTTCTGAGAATGCTTCTGTCTAGTTTTTATGGGAAGATTATTTCCTTTTTCACCTTAGGCCGGTAAGTGCTCCAAATGTCCACTTACACACACTACAAAAAGAGTGTTTCAAACCTGCTCTGTGAAAGGGAATGTTCAATTCTGTGACTTGAATGCAATCATCACAAAGAACTTTCTGAGAATGCTGCTGACTGCTTTTTATATGTAATCCCGTTTCCAACGAAATCCTCAAATCTAGCCAAATAGCCACTTGCAGATTCCACAAAAAGAGTGTTTCAAAACTGTTCTGTCTAAAGAAATGTTCAACTGTGTTAGTTGAGGACACACATCAGAAACTAGTTTCTGAGAATGCTTCTGTCTAGTTGTTATGGGAAGATATTTCCTTTTCCAACGTAGGCCTGAAAGCGCTCCAAATGTCCACTTCCAGATACTACAAAAAGAGTGTTTCAAACCTGCTCTACCAAAGGGAATGTTCTACTCTGTGACTTGAATGCAAGCATCCCAAAGAAGTTTCTGAGAATGCTTCTGTCTAGATTTTATCTGAAGACAATCCCGTTTCCAACGAAATCCTCAAGGCTAGGCAAATATATTCTTGCAGAATCCAGAAAAAGAGTGTTTCAAAACTGCTCCTTCAAAACGGTGGTTCAATTCTCTTAGTTGAGTACACACATCTCAAATAAGTTTCTGAGAATGCTTCTGCCTAGTTGTTACGGGAAGATATTTCCCTTTCCAACATGGGCCTGAAAGCGCTCCAAATGTCCACTTCCAGATACTACAAAAAGAGTGTTTCAAACCTGCTCTACCAAAGGGAATGTTCTACTCTGTGACTTGAATGCAAACATCCCAAAGAAGTTTCTGAGAATGCTTCTGTCTAGATTTTACCTGAAGACAATCCCGTTTCCCACGAAATCCTCAAAGCTATCCAAATATCCTCTTGCGGATTCTATAAAAGAGTGTTTCAAAACTGCTCTATGAAAAGAAAGGTTCAACTCTGTCAGTAGAGGGCACACATCACAAACAAGTTTCTGAGAATGCTTGTGTCTAGTTGTTATGGGAAGATATTTCCTTTTTCAACATAGGCCTGAAAGCGCTCCAAATGTCCACTTCCAGATACTACAAAAGGAGTGATTCCAACCTGCTCTATGATAGGGAATGTTCATCTCTGTGTCCTGAATACAAACATCACAAAGATGTTTCTCAGAACGCTGCAGTCTGCAATTTGTATGAATTCCCGCTTCCAACGAAATCCTCAAAACTAGCCAAATATCCACTTGCAGATTCCACAAAAAGACCATTTCAAAACTGCTCTATCAAAAGAAAGGTTCAACTTTGTTAGTTGAGTAGATACAGCATAACCAAGTTTCTGAGAATGCTTCTGTCCAGTTTTTATGGGAAGATATTTCCTTTTTCACCTTAGCCCTGAAATCGCTCCAAAAGAACAGTTCCAGATACTACAAAAGGGGTGTTTCAAGACTGCTCTATGAAAGGGAGTGTTCAACTTTTGACTTGAATGCAAACATCAGAAAGCAGTTTCTCAGAACGCTGCTGTGTGCTTTTTATATGTATTCCCGCTTCCAGCGAAATCCCCAAAGCTAGCCAAATATCCACTTGCAGATTCCAGAAAAAGAGAGTTTCAAAACTGCTCCTTCAAAACGGTGGTTCAATTCTCTTAGTTGAGTACACACATCTCAAATAAGTTTCTGAGAATGCTTCTGTCTAGTTGTTATGGGAAGATATTTCCTTTTCCAACATAGGCCTGAAAGCGCTCCAAATGTCCACTTCCAGATACTACAAAAGGAGTGATTCCAACCTGCTCTATGATAGGGAATGTTCAACTCTGTGTCCTGAATACAAACATCACAAAGATGTTTCTCAGAACGCTGCAGTCTGCAATTTGTATGAATTCCCGCTTCCAACGAAATCCTCCAAACTAGCCAAATATCCACTTGCAGATTCCACAAAAAGAGCGTTTCAAAACTTCTCTATGAAAAGAAAGGTTCTACTCCTTTAGTTGAGGACACACATCACGAGTAAGTTTCTGAGAATGCTTCTGTCTAGTTTTTATGGGAAGATATTTCCTTTTTCACCTTAGGCCGGTAAGTGCTCCAAATGTCCACTTACACACACTACAAAAAGAGTCTTTCAAACCTGCTCTGTGAAAGGGAATGTTCAATTCTGTGACTTGAATGCAATCATCACAAAGAACTTTCTGAGAATGCTACTGTCTGCTTTTTATATGTAATCCCGTTTCCAACGAAATCCTCAAATCTAGCCAAATAGCCACTTGCAGATTCCACAAAAAGAGTGTTTCAAAACTGTTCTGTCTAAAGAAATGTTCAACTGTGTTAGTTGAGGACACACATCAGAAACTAGTTTCTGAGAATGCTTCTGTCTAGTTGTTATGGGAAGATATTTCCTTTTCCAAAGTAGGCCTGAAAGCGCTCCAAATGTCCACTTCCATATACTAAAAAAAGAGTGTTTCAAACCTGCTCTACCAAAGGGAATGTTCTACTCTGTGACTTGAATGCAAACATCCCAAAGAAGTTTCTGAGAATGCTTCTGTCTAGATTTGATCTGAAGACAATCCCGTTTCCAACGAAATCCTCAAGGCTAGGCAAATATCCTCTTGCAGATTCCAGAAAAAGAGTGTTTCAAAACTGCTCCTTCAAAACGGTGGTTCAATTCTCTTAGTTGAGTACACACATCTCAAATAAGTTTCTGAGAATGCTTCTGCCTAGTTGTTACGGGAAGATATTTCCCTTTCCAACATAGGCCTGAAAGCGCTCCAAATGTCCACTTCCAGATACTACAAAAAGAGTGTTTCAAGCCTGCTCTACCAAAGGGAATGTTCTGCTCTGTGACTTGAATGCAAACATCCCAAAGAAGTTTCTGAGAATGCTTCTGTCTAGATTTTACCTGAAGACAATCCCGTTTCCCACGAAATCCTCAAAGCTATGCAAATATCCTCTTGCAGATTCTACAAAAAGAGTGTTTCAAAACTGCTCTATGAAAAGAAAGGTTCAACTCTGTCAGTAGAGGGCACACATCACAAACAAGTTTCTGAGAATGCTTCTGCATAGTTGTTACGGGAAGATATTTCCCTTTCCAAAATAGGCCTGAAAGCGCTCCAAATGTCCACTTCCAGATACTACAAAAGGAGTGATTCCAACCTGCTCTATGATAGGGAATGTTCAACTCTCTGTCCTGAATACAAACATCACAAAGATGTTTCTCAGAACGCTGCAGTCTGCAATTTGTATGAATTCCCGCTTCCAACGAAATCCTCAAAACTAGCCAAATATCCACTTGCAGATTCCACAAAAAGACCATTTCAAAACTGCTCTATCAAAAGAAAGGTTCAACTTTGTTAGTTGAGTAGATACAGCATAAACAAGTTTCTGAGAATGCTTCTGTCCAGTTTTTATGGGAAGATATTTCCTTTTTCACCTTAGCCCTGAAAGCGCTCCAAAAGTCCAGTTCCAGATACTACAAAAGGAGTGTTTCAGGACTGCTCTATGAAAGGGAGTGTTCAACTTTTGACTTGAATGCAAACATCAGAAAGCAGTTTCTCAGAACGCTGCTGTGTGCTTTTTATATGTATTCCCGCTTCCAGCGAAATCCCCAAAGCTAGCCAAATATCCACTTGCAGATTCCAGGAAAAGAGTGTTTCAAAACTGCTCCTTCAAAACGGTGGTTCAATTCTCTTAGTTGAGTACACACATCTCAAATAAGTTTCTGAGAATGCTTGTGTCTAGTTGTTATGGGAAGATATTTCCTTTTTCAACATAGGCCTGAAAGCGCTCCAAATGTCCACTTCCAGATACTACAAAAGGAGTGATTCCAACCTGCTCTATGATAGGGAATGTTCATCTCTGTGTCCTGAATACAAACATCACAAAGATGTTTCTCAGAACGCTGCAGTCTGCAATTTGTATGAATTCCCGCTTCCAACGAAATCCTCAAAACTAGCCAAATATCCACTTGGAGATTCCACAAAAAGAGCGTTTCAAAACTTCTCTATGAATAGAAATGTTCTACTCCTTTAGTTGAGGACACACATCACGAGTAAGTTTCTGAGAATGCTTCTGTCTAGTTTTTATGGGAAGATATTTCCTTTTTCACCTTAGGCCGGAAAGTGCTCCAAATGTCCACTTACACACACTACAAAAAGAGTGTTTCAAACCTGCTCTGTGAAAGGGAATGTTCAATTCTGTGACTTGAATGCAATCATCACAAAGAACTTTCTGAGAATGCTGCTGTCTGCTTTTTATATGTAATCCCGTTTCCAACGAAATCCTCAAATCTAGCCAAATAGCCACTTGCAGATTCCACAAAAAGAGTGTTTCAAAACTGTTCTGTCTAAAGAAATGTTCAACTGTGTTAGTTGAGGACACACATCAGAAACTAGTTTCTGAGAATGCTTCTGTCTAGTTGTAATGGGAAGATATTTCCTTTTCCAACGTAGGCCTGAAAGCGCTCCAAATGTCCACTTCCATATACTAAAAAAAGAGTGTTTCAAACCTGCTCTACCAAAGGGAATGTTCTACTCTGTGACTTGAATGCAAACATCCCAAAGAAGTTTCTGAGAATGCTTCTGTCTAGATTTGATCTGAAGACAATCCCGTTTCCAACGGAATCCTCAAATCTATGCAAATATCCTCTTGCAGATTCCAGAAAAAGAGTGTTTCAAAACTGCTCCTTCAAAACGGTGGTTCAATTCTCTTAGTTGAGTACACACATCTCAAATAAGTTTCTGAGAATGCTTCTGCCTAGTTGTTACGGGAAGATATTTCCCTTTCCAACATAGGCCTGAAAGCGCTCCAAATGTCCACTTCCAGATACTACAAAAAGAGTGTTTCAAACCTGCTCCTTCAAAACGGTGGTTCAATTCTCTTAGTTCAGTACACACATCTCAAATAAGTTTCTGAGAATGCTTCTGTCTAGATTTTACCTGAAGACAATCCCGTTTCCCACGAAATCCTCAAAGCTATGCAAATATCCTCTTGCAGATTCTACAAAAAGAGTGTTTCGAAACTGCTCTATGAAAAGAAAGGTTCAACTGTGTCAGTAGAGGGCACACATCACAAACAAGTTTCTGAGAATGCCTCTGCCTAGTTGTTATGGGAAGATATTTCCTTTTTCAACATAGGCCTGAAAGCGCTCCAAATGTCCACTTCCAGATACTACAAAAGGAGTGATTCCAACCTGCTCTATGATAGGGAATGTTCAACTCTGTGTCCTGAATACAAACATCACAAAGATGTTTCTCACAACGCTGCAGTCTGCAATTTGTATGAATTCCCGCTTCCAACGAAATCCTCAAAACTAGCCAAATATCCACTTGCAGATTCCACAAAAAGACCATTTCAAAACTGCTCTATCAAAAGAAAGGTTCAACTTTGTTAGTTGAGTAGTTACAGCATAAACAAGTTTCTGAGAATGCTTCTGTCCAGTTTTTATGGGAAGATATTTCCTTTTTCACCTTAGCCCTGAAATCGCTCCAAAAGTCCAGTTCCAGATACTACAAAACGGGTATTTCAAGACTGCTCTATGAAAGGGAGTGTTCAACTTTTGACTTGAATGCAAACATCAGAAAGCAGTTTCTCAGAACGCTGCTGTGTGCTTTTTATATGTATTCCCGCTTCCAGCGAAATCCCCAAAGCTAGCCAAATATCCACTTGCAGATTCCAGAAAAAGAGAGTTTCAAAACTGCTCCTTCAAAACGGTGGTTCAATTCTCTTAGTTGAGTACACACATCTCAAATAAGTTTCTGAGAATGCTTGTGTCTAGTTGTTATGGGAAGATATTTCCTTTTTCAACATAGGCCTGAAAGCGCTCCAAATGTCCACTTCCAGATACTACAAAAGGAGTGATTCCAACCTGCTCTATGATAGGGAATGTTCCTCTCTGTGTCCTGAATACAAACATCACAAAGATGTTTCTCAGAACGCTGCAGTCTGCAATTTGTATGAATTCCCGCTTCCAACGAAATCCTCAAAACTAGCCAAATATCCACTTGGAGATTCCACAAAAAGAGCGTTTCAAAACTTCTCTATGAATAGAAAGGTTCTACTCCTTTAGTTGAGGACACACATCACGAGTAAGTTTTCTGAGAATGCTTCTGTCTAGTTTTTATGGGAAGATATTTCCTTTTTCACCTTAGGCCGGAAAGCGCTCCAAATGTCCACTTACACACACTACAAAAAGAGTGTTTCAAACCTGCTCTGTGAAAGGGAATGTTCAATTCTGTGACTTGAATGCAATCATCACAAAGAACTTTCTGAGAATGCTGCTGTCTGCTTTTTATATGTAATCCCGTTTCCAACGAAATCCTCAAATCTAGCCCAATATCCACTTGCAGATTCCACAAAAAGAGTGTTTCAAAACTGTTCTGTCTAAAGAAATGTACAACTGTGTTAGTTGAGGACACACATCAGAAACCAGTTTCTGAGAATGCTTCTGTCTAGTTGTTATGGGAAGATATTTCCTTTTCCAACGTAGGCCTGAAAGCGCTCCAAATGTCCACTTCCATATACTAAAAAAAGAGTGTTTCAAACCTGCTCTACCAAAGGGAATGTTCTACTCTGTGACTTGAATGCAAACATCCCAAAGAAGTTTCTGAGAATGCTTCTGTCTAGATTTTATCTGAAGACAATCCCGTTTCCAACGAAATTCTCAAGGCTAGGCAAATATACTCTTGCAGATTCCAGAAAAAGAGTGTTTCAAAACTGCTCCTTCAAAACGGTGGTTCAGTTCTCTTACTTGAGTACACACATCTCAAATAAGTTTCTGAGAATGCTTCTGCCTAGTTGTTACGGGAAGATATTTCCCTTTCCAACATGGGCCTGAAAGCGCTCCAAATGTCCACTTCCAGATACTACAAAAAGAGGGTTTCAAACCTGCTCTACCAAAGGGAATGTTCTACTCTGTGACTTGAATGCAAACATCCCAAAGAAGTTTCTGAGAATGCTTCTGTCTAGATTTTACCTGAAGACAATCCCGTTTCCCACGAAATCCTCAAAGCTATGCAAATATCCTCTTGCAGATTCTACAAAAAGAGTGTTTCAAAACTGCTCTATGAAAAGAAAGGTTCAACTCTGTCAGTAGAGGGCACACATCACAAACAAGTTTCTGAGAATGCTTCTGCATAGTTGTTACGGGAAGATATTTCCCTTTCCAAAATAGGCCTGAAAGCGCTCCAAATGTCCACTTCCAGATACTACAAAAGGAGTGATTCCAACCTGCTCTATGATAGGGAATGTTCAACTCTGTGTCCTGAATACAAACATCACAAAGATGTTTCTCAGAACGCTGCAGTCTGCAATTTGTATGAATTCCCGCTTCCAACGAAATCCTCAAAACTAGCCAAATATCCACTTGCAGATTCCACAAAAAGAGCGTTTCAAAACTTCTCTATGAAAAGAAAGGTTCTACTCCTTTAGTTGAGGACACACATCACGAGTAAGTTTCTGAGAATGCTTCTGTCTAGTTTTTATGGGAAGATATTTCCTTTTTCACCTTAGGCCGGTAAGTGCTCCAAATGTCCACTTACACACACTACAAAAAGAGTGTTTCAAACCTGCTCTGTGAAAGGGAATGTTCAATTCTGTGACTTGAATGCAATCATCACAAAGAACTTTCTGAGAATGCTTGCTGACTGCTTTTTATATGTAATCCCGTTTCCAACGAAATCCTCAAATCTAGCCCAATATCCACTTGCAGATTCCACAAAAAGAGTGTTTCAAAACTGTTCTGTCTAAAGAAATGTACAACTGTGTTAGTTGAGGACACACATCAGAAACTAGTTTCTGAGAATGCTTCTGTCTAGTTATTATGGGAAGATATTTCCTTTTCCAACGTAGGCCTGAAAGCGCTCCAAATGTCCACTTGCATATACTAAAAAAAGAGTGTTTCAAACCTGCTCTACCAAAGGGAATGTTCTACTCTGTGACTTGAATGCAAACATCCCAAAGAAGTTTCTGAGAATGCTTCTGTCTAGATTTTATCTGAAGACAATCCCGTTTCCAACGAAATCCTCAAGGCTAGGGAAATATACTCTTGCAGATTCCAGAAAAAGAGTGTTTCAAAACTGCTCCTTCAAAACGGTGGTTCAATTCTCTTAGTTGAGTACACACATCTCAAATAAGTTTCTGAGAATGCTTCTGCCTAGTTGTTACGGGAAGATATTTCCCTTTCCAACATGGGCCTGAAAGCGCTCCAAATGTCCACTTCCAGATACTACAAAAAGAGTGTTTCAAACCTGCTCTACCAAAGGGAATGTTCTACTCTGTGACTTGAATGCAAACATCCCAAAGAAGTTTCTGAGAATGCTTCTGTCTAGATTTTACCTGAAGACAATCCCGTTTCCCACGAAATCCTCAAAGCTATGCAAATATCCTCTTGCGGATTCTACAAAAAGAGTGTTTCAAAACTGCTCTATGAAAAGAAAGGTTCAACTCTGTCAGTAGAGGGCACACATCACAAACAAGTTTCTGAGAATGCTTGTGTCTAGTTGTTATGGGAAGATATTTCCTTTTTCAACATAGGCCTGAAAGCGCTCCAAATGTCCACTTCCAGATACTACAAAAGGAGTGATTCCAACCTGCTCTATGATAGGGAATGTTCATCTCTGTGTCCTGAATACAAACATCACAAAGATGTTTCTCAGAACGCTGCAGTCTGCAATTTGTATGAATTCCCGCTTCCAACGAAATCCTCAAAACTAGCCAAATATCCACTTGCAGATTCCACAAAAAGACCATTTCAAAACTGCTCTATCAAAAGAAAGGTTCAACTTTGTTAGTTGAGTAGATACAGCATAAACAAGTTTCTGAGAATGCTTCTGTCCAGTTTTTATGGGAAGATATTTCCTTTTTCACCTTAGCCCTAAAATCGCTCCAAAAGTCCAGTTCCAGATACTACAAAAGGGGTGTTTCAAGACTGCTCTATGAAAGGGAGTGTTCAACTTTTGACTTGAATGCAAACATCAGAAAGCAGTTTCTCAGAACGCTGCTGTGTGCTTTTTATATGTATTCCCGCTTCCAGCGAAATCCCCAAAGCTAGCCAAATATCCACTTGCAGATTCCAGAAAAAGAGTGTTTCAAAACTGCTCCTTCAAAACGGTGGTTCAATTCTCTTAGTTGAGTAGACACATCTCAAATAAGTTTCTGAGAATGCTTCTGTCTAGTTGTTATGGGAAGATATTTCCTTTTCCAACATAGGCCTGAAAGCGCTCCAAATGTCCACTTCCAGATACTACAAAAGGAGTGATTCAAACCTGCTCTATGATAGGGAATGTTCAACTCTGTGTCCTGAATACAAACATCACAAAGATGTTTCTCAGAACGCTGCAGTCTGCAATTTGTATGAATTCCCGCTTCCAACGAAATCCTCAAAACTAGCCAAATATCCACTTGCAGATTCCACAAAAAGAGCGTTTCAAAACTTCTCTATGAAAAGAAAGGTTCTACTCCTTTAGTTGAGGACACACATCACGAGTAAGTTTCTGAGAATGCTTCTGTCTAGTTTTTATGGGAAGATTATTTCCTTTTTCACCTTAGGCCGGTAAGTGCTCCAAATGTCCACTTACACACACTACAAAAAGAGTGTTTCAAACCTGCTCTGTGAAAGGGAATGTTCAATTCTGTGACTTGAATGCAATCATCACAAAGAACTTTCTGAGAATGCCGCTGACTGCTTTTTATATGTAATCCCGTTTCCAACGAAATCCTCAAATCTAGCCAAATAGCCACTTGCAGATTCCACAAAAAGAGTGTTTCAAAACTGTTCTGTCTAAAGAAATGTTCAACTGTGTTAGTTGAGGACACACATCAGAAACTAGTTTCTGAGAATGCTCTCTGTCTAGTTGTTATGGGAAGATATTTCCTTTTCCAACGTAGGCCTGAAAGTGCTCCAAATGTCCACTTCCATATACTAAAAAAAGAGTGTTTCAAACCTGCTCTACCAAAGGGAATGTTCTACTCTGTGACTTGAATGCAAACATCCCAAAGAAGTTTCTGAGAATGCTTCTGTCTAGATTTTATCTGAAAACAATCCCGTTTCCAACGAAATCCTCAAAGCTAGGCAAATATCCTCTTGCAGATTCCAGAAAAAGAGTGTTTCAAAACTGGTCCTTCAAAACGGTGGTTCAATTCTCTTAGTTGAGTACACACATCTCAAATAAGTTTCTGAGAATGCTTCTGCCTAGTTGTTAAGGGAAGATATTTCCCTTTCCAACATAGGCCTGAAAGCGCTCCAAATGTCCACTTCCAGATACTACAAAAAGAGTGTTTCAAACCTGCTCTACCAAAGGGAATGTTCTACTCTGTGACTTGAATGCAAACATCCCAAAGAAGTTTCTGAGAATGCTTCTGTCTAGATTTTACCTGAAGACAATCCCGTTTCCCACGAAATCCTCAAAGCTATGCAAATATCCTCTTGCAGATTCTACAAAAAGAGTGTTTCAAAACTGCTCTATGAAAAGAAAGGTTCAACTCTGTCAGTAGAGGGCACACATCACAAACAAGTTTCTGAGAATGCTTCTGCATAGTTGTTACGGGAAGATATTTCCCTTTCCAAAATAGGCCTGAAAGCGCTCCAAATGTCCACTTCCAGATACTACAAAAGGAGTGATTCCAACCTGCTCTATGATAGGGAATGTTCAACTCTGTGTCCTGAATACAAACATCACAAAGATGTTTCTCAGAACGCTGCAGTCTGCAATTTGTATGAATTCCCGCTTCCAACGAAATCCTCAAAACTAGCCAAATATCCACTTGCAGATTCCACAAAAAGACCATTTCAAAACTGCTCTATCAAAAGAAAGGTTCAACTTTGTTAGTTGAGTAGATACAGCATAACCAAGTTTCTGAGAATGCTTCTGTCCAGTTTTTATGGGAAGATATTTCCTTTTTCACCTTAGCCCTGAAAGCGCTCCAAATGTCCAGTTCCAGATACTACAAAAGGGGTGTTTCAAGACTGCTCTATGAAAGGGGGTGTTCAACTTTTGACTTGAATGCAAACATCAGAAAGCAGTTTCTCAGAACGCTGCTGTGTGCTTTTTATATGTATTCCCGCTTCCAGCGAAATCCCCAAAGCTAGCCAAATATCCACTTGCAGATTCCAGAAAAAGAGTGTTTCAAAACTGCTCCTTCAAAACGGTGGTTCAATTCTCATAGTTGAGTACACACATCTCAAATAAGTTTCTGAGGATGCTTCTGTCTAGTTGTTATGGGAAGATATTTCCTTTTCCAACATAGGCTTGAAAGCGCTCCAAATGTCCTCTTTCAGATACTACAAAAGGAGTGATTCCAACCTGCTCTATGATAGGGAATGTTCAACTCTGTGTCCTGAATACAAACATCACAAAGATGTTTCTCAGAACGCTGCAGTCTGCAATTTGTATGAATTCCCGCTTCCAACGAAATCCTCCAAACTAGCCAAATATCCACTTGCAGATTCCACAAAAAGAGCGTTTCAAAACTTCTCTATGAAAAGAAAGGTTCTACTCCTTTAGTTGAGGACACACATCACGAGTAAGTTTCTGAGAATGCTTCTGTCTAGTTTTTATGGGAAGATATTTCCTTTTTCACCTTAGGCCGGAAAGTGCTCCAAATGTCCACTTACACACACTATAAAAAGAGTGTTTCAAACCTGCTCTGTGAAAGGGAATGTTCAATTCTGTGACTTGAATGCAATCATCACAAAGAACTTTCTGAGAATGCTGCTGTCTGCTTTTTATATGTAATCCCGTTTCCAACGAAATCCTCAAATCTAGCCAAATAGCCACTTGCAGATTCCACAAAAAGAGTGTTTCAAAACTGTTCTGTCTAAAGAAATGTTCAACTGTGTTAGTTGAGGACACACATCAGAAACTAGTTTCTGAGAATGCTTCTGTCTAGTTGTTATGGGAAGATATTTCCTTTTCCAACGTAGGCCTGAAAGCGCTCCAAATGTCCACTTCCATATACTAAAAAAAGAGTGTTTCAAACCTGCTCTACCAAAGGGAATGTTCTGCTCTGTGACTTGAATGCAAACATCCCAAAGAAGTTTCTGAGAATGCTTCTGTCTAGATTTTACCTGAAGACAATCCCGTTTCCCACGAAATCCTCAAAGCTATGCAAATATCCTCTTGCAGATTCTACAAAAAGAGTGTTTCAAAACTGCTCTATGAAAAGAAAGGTTCAACTCTGTCAGTAGAGGGCACACATCACAAACAAGTTTCTGAGAATGCTTCTGTCTAGTTGTTATGGGAAGATATTTCCTTTTTCAACATAGGCCTGAAAGCGCTCCAAATGTCCACTTCCAGATACTACAAAAGGAGTGATTCCAACCTGCTCTATGATAGGGAATGTTCAACTCTGTGTCCTGAATACAAACATCACAAAGACGTTTCTCAGAACGCTGCAGTCTGCAATTTGTATGAATTCCCGCTTCCAACGAAATCCTCAAAACTAGCCAAATATCCACTTGCAGATTCCACAAAAAGACCATTTCAAAACTGCTCTATCAAAAGAAAGGTTCAACTTTGTTAGTTGAGTAGATACAGCATAAACAAGTTTCTGAGAATGCTTCTGTCCAGTTTTTATGGGAAGATATTTCCTTTTTCACCTTAGCCCTGAAATCGCTCCAAAAGTCCAGTTCCAGATACTACAAAAGGGGTGTTTCAAGACTGCTCTATGAAAGGGAGTGTTCAACTTTTGACTTGAATGCAAACATCAGAAAGCAGTTTCTCAGAACGCTGCTGTGTGCTTTTTATATGTATTCCCGCTTCCAGCGAAATCCCCAAAGCTAGCCAAATATCCACTTGCAGATTCCAGAAAAAGAGAGTTTCAAAACTGCTCCTTCAAAACGGTGGTTCAATTCTCTTAGTTGAGTACACACATCTCAAATAAGTTTCTGAGAATGCTTGTGTCTAGTTGTTATGGGAAGATATTTCCTTTTTCAACATAGGCCTGAAAGCGCTCCAAATGTCCACTTCCAGATACTACAAAAGGAGTGATTCCAACATGCTCTATGAGAGGGAATGTTCATCTCTGTGTCTTGAATACAAACATCACAAAGATGTTTCTCAGAACGCTGCAGTCTGCAATTTGTATGAATTCCCGCTTCCAACGAAATCCTCCAAACTAGCCAAATATCCACTTGCAGATTCCACAAAAAGAGCGTTTCAAAACTTCTCTGCGAAAGAAAGGTTCTACTCCTTTAGTTGAGGACACACATCACGAGTAAGTTTCTGAGAATGCTTCTGTCTAGTTTTTATGGGAAGATATTTCCTTTTTCACCTTAGGCCGGAAAGTGCTCCAAATGTCCACTTACACACACTACAAAAAGAGTGTTTCAAACCTGCTCTGTGAAAGGGAATGTTCAATTCTGTGACTTGAATGCAATCATCACAAAGAACTTTCTGAGAATGCTGCTGTCTGCTTTTTATATGTAATCCCGTTTCCAACGAAATCCTCAAATCTAGCCAAATATCCACTTGCAGATTCCACAAAAAGAGTGTTTCAAAACTGTTCTGTCTAAAGAAAAGTTCAACTGTGTTAGTTGAGGACACACATCAGAAACTAGTTTCTGAGAATGCTTCTGTCTAATTGTTATGGGAAGATACTTCCTTTTCCAACGTAGGCCTGAAAGCGCTCCAAATGTCCACTTCCATATACTAAAAAAAGAGTGTTTCAAACCTGCTCTACCAAAGGGAATGTTCTACTCTGTGACTTGAATGCAAACATCCCAAAGAAGTTTCTGAGAATGCTTCTGTCTAGATTTGATCTGAAGACAATCCCGTTTCCAACGAAATCCTCAAAGCTAGGCAAATATCCTCTTGCAGATTCCAGAAAAAGAGTGTTTCAAAACTGCTCCTTCAAAACGGTGGTTCAATTCTCTTAGTTGAGTACACACATCTCAAATAAGTTTCTGAGAATGCTTCTGCCTAGTTGTTACGGGAAGATATTTCCCTTTCCAACATAGGCCTGAAAGCGCTCCAAATGTCCACTTCCAGATACTACAAAAAGAGTGTTTCAAACCTGCTCTACCAAAGGGAATGTTCTACTCTGTGACTTGAATGCAAACATCCCAAAGAAGTTTCTGAGAATGCTTCTGTCTAGATTTTACCTGAAGACAGTCCCGTTTCCCACGAAATCCTCAAAGCTATGCAAATATCCTCTTGCAGATTCTACAAAAAGAGTGTTTCAAAACTGCTCTATGAAAAGAAAGGTTCAACTCTGTCAGTAGAGGGCACACATCACAAACAAGTTTCTGAGAATGCTTGTGTCTAGTTGTTATGGGAAGATATTTCCTTTTTCAACATAGGCCTGAAAGCGCTCCAAATGTCCACTTCCAGATACTACAAAAGGAGTGATTCCAACCTGCTCTATGATAGGGAATGTTCAACTCTCTGTCCTGAATACAAACATCACAAAGATGTTTCTCAGAACGCTGCAGTCTGCAATTTGTATGAATTCCAGGTTCCAACGAAATCCTCAAATCTAGCCAAATATCCACTTGCAGATTCCACAAAAAGAGCATTTCAAAACTGCTCTATCAAAAGAAAGGTTCAACTTTGTTAGTAGAGTAGATACAGCATAAACAAGTTTCTGAGAATGCTTCTGTCCAGTTTTTATGGGAAGATATTTCCTTTTTCACCTTAGCCCTGAAAGCGCTCCAAAAGTCCAGTTCCAGATACTACAAAAGGAGTGTTTCAGGACTGCTCTATGAAAGGGAGTGTTCAACTTTTGACTTGAATGCAAACATCAGAAAGCAGTTTCTCAGAACGCTGCTGTGTGCTTTTTATATGTATTCCCGCCTCCAGCGAAATCCCCAAAGCTAGCCAAATATCCACTTGCAGATTCCAGAAAAAGAGTGTTTCAAAACTGCTCCTTCAAAACGGTGGTTCAATTCTCTTAGTTGAGTACACACATCTCAAATAAGTTTCTGAGAATGCTTCTGTCTAGTTGTTATGGGAAGATATTTCCTTTTCCAACATAGGCCTGAAAGCGCTCCAAATGTCCACTTCCAGATACTACAAAAGGAGTGATTCCAACCTGCTCTATGATAGGGAATGTTCAACTCTGTGTCCTGAATACAAACATCACAAAGATGTTTCTCAGAACGCTGCAGTCTGCAATTTGTATGAATTCCCGCTTCCAACGAAATCCTCAAAACTAGCCAAATATCCACTTGCAGATTCCACAAAAAGACCATTTCAAAACTGCTCTATCAAAAGAAAGGTTCAACTTTGTTAGTTGAGTAGATACAGCATAACCAAGTTTCTGAGAATGCTTCTGTCCAGTTTTTATGGGAAGATATTTCCTTTTTCACCTTAGCCCTGAAATCGCTCCAAAAGTCCAGTTCCAGATACTACAAAAGGGGTGTTTCAAGACTGCTCTATGAAAGGGAGTGTTCAACTTTTGACTTGAATGCAAACATCAGAAAGCAGTTTCTCAGAACGCTGCTGTGTGCTTTTTATATGTATTCCCGCTTCCAGCGAAATCCCCAAAGCTAGCCAAATATCCACTTGCAGATTCCAGAAAAAGAGTGTTTCAAAACTGCTCCTTCAAAACGGTGGTTCAATTCTCTTAGTTGAGTACACACATCTCAAATAAGTTTCTGAGAATGCTTCTGTCTAGTTGTTACGGGAAGATATTTCCTTTTCCAACATAGGCCTGAAAGCGCTCCAAATGTCCACTTCCAGCTACTACAAAAGGAGTGATTCAAACCTGCTCTATGATAGGGAATGTTCAACTCTGTGTCCTGAATACAAACATCACAAAGATGTTTCTCAGAACGCTGCAGTCTGCAATTTGTATGAATTCCCGCTTCCAACGAAATCCTCCAAACTAGCCAAATATCCACTTGCAGATTCCACAAAAAGAGCGTTTCAAAACTTCTCTATGAAAAGAAAGGTTCTACTCCTTTAGTTGAGGACACACATCACGAGTAAGTTTCTGAGAATGCTTCTAGTCTAGTTTTTATGGGAAGATATTTCCTTTTTCACCTTAGGCCGGAAAGCGCTCCAAATGTCCACTTACACACACTACAAAAAGAGTGTTTCAAACCTGCTCTGTGAAAGGGAATGTTCAATTCTGTGACTTGAATGCAATCATCACAAAGAACTTTCTGAGAATGCTGCTGTCTGCTTTTTATATGTAATCCCGTTTCCAACGAAATCCTCAAATCTAGCCAAATATCCACTTGCAGATTCCACAAAAAGAGTGTTTCAAAACTGTTCTGTCTAAAGAAAAGTTCAACTGTGTTAGTTGAGGACACGCATCAGAAACTAGTTTCTGAGAATGCTTCTGTCTAGTTGTTATGGGAAGATATTTCCTTTTCCAACGTAGGCCTGAAAGCGCTCCAAATGTCCACTTCCATATACTAAAAAAAGAGTGTTTCAAACCTGCTCTACCAAAGGGAATGTTCTACTCTGTGACTTGAATGCAAACATCCCAAAGAAGTTTCTGAGAATGCTTCTGTCTAGATTTTATCTGAAGACAATCCCGTTTCCAACGAAATCCTCAAGGCTAGGCAAATATACTCTTGCAGATTCCAGAAAAAGAGGGTTTCAAAACTGCTCCTTCAAAACGGTGGTTCAATTCTCTTAGTTGAGTACACACATCTCAAATAAGTTTCTGAGAATGCTTCTGCCTAGTTGTTACGGGAAGATATTTCCCTTTCCAACATGGGCCTGAAAGCGCTCCAAATGTCCACTTCCAGATACTACAAAAAGAGTGTTTCAAACCTGCTCTACCAAAGGGAATGTTCTACTCTGTGACTTGAATGCAAACATCCCAAAGAAGTTTCTGAGAATGCTTCTGTCTAGATTTTACCTGAAGACAATCCCGTTTCCCACGAAATCCTCAAAGCTATGCAAATATCCTCTTGCGGATTCTACAAAAAGAGTGTTTCAAAACTGCTCTATGAAAAGAAAGGTTCAACTCTGTCAGTAGAGGGCACACATCACAAACAAGTTTCTGAGAATGCTTGTGTCTAGTTGTTATGGGAAGATATTTCCTTTTTCAACATAGGCCTGAAAGCGCTCCAAATGTCCACTTCCAGATACTACAAAAGGAGTGATTCAAACCTGCTCTATGATAGGGAATGTTCATCTCTGTGTCCTGAATACAAACATCACAAAGATGTTTCTCAGAACGCTGCAGTCTGCAATTTGTATGAATTCCCGCTTCCAACGAAATCCTCAAAACTAGCCAAATATCCACTTGCAGATTCCACAAAAAGACCATTTCAAAACTGCTCTATCAAAAGAAAGGTTCAACTTTGTTAGTTGAGTAGATACAGCATAAACAAGTTTCTGAGAATGCTTCTGTCCAGTTTTTATGGGAAGATATTTCCTTTTTCACCTTAGCCCTGAAATCGCTCCAAAAGTCCAGTTCCAGATACTACAAAAGGGGTGTTTCAGGACTGCCCTATGAAAGGGAGTGTTCAACTTTTGACTTGAATGCAAACATCAGAAAGCAGTTTCTCAGAACGCTGCTGTGTGCTTTTTATATGTATTCCCGCTTCCAGCGAAATCCCCAAAGCTAGCCAAATATCCACTTGCAGATTCCAGAAAAAGAGAGTTTCAAAACTGCTCCTTCAAAACGGTGGTTCAATTCTCTTAGTTGAGTACACACATCTCAAATAAGTTTCTGAGAATGCTTGTGTCTAGTTGTTATGGGAAGATATTTCCTTTTTCAACATAGGCCTGAAAGCGCTCCAAATGTCCACTTCCAGATACTACAAAAGGAGTGATTCCAACCTGCTCTATGATAGGGAATGTTCATCTCTGTGTCCTGAATACAAACATCACAAAGATGTTTCTCAGAACGCTGCAGTCTGCAATTTGTATGAATTCCCGCTTCCAACGAAATCCTCAAAACTAGCCAAATATCCACTTGGAGATTCCACAAAAAGAGCGTTTCAAAATTTCTCTATGAATAGAAAGGTTCTACTCCTTTAGTTGAGGACACACATCACGAGTAAGTTTCTGAGAATGTTTCTGTCTAGTTTTTATGGGAAGATATTTCCTTTTTCACCTTAGGCCGGAAAGCGCTCCAAATGTCCACTTACACACACTACAAAAAGAGTGTTTCAAACCTGCTCTGTGAAAGGGAATGTTCAATTCTGTGACTTGAATGCAATCATCACAAAGAACTTTCTGAGAATGCTGCTGTCTGCTTTTTATATGTAATCCCGTTTCCAACGAAATCCTCAAATCTAGCCAAATATCCACTTGCAGATTCCACAAAAAGAGTGTTTCAAAACTGTTCTGTCTAAAGAAAAGTTCAACTGTGTTAGTTGAGGACACACATCAGAAACTAGTTTCTGAGAATGCTTCTGTCTAGTTGTTATGGGAAGATATTTCCTTTTCCAACGTAGGCCTGAAAGCGCTCCAAATGTC
This sequence comes from Homo sapiens, assembly GCF_000001405.40. Taxonomy (NCBI): domain Eukaryota; kingdom Metazoa; phylum Chordata; class Mammalia; order Primates; family Hominidae; genus Homo; species Homo sapiens. The sequence continues at coordinate 19,025,972 of NC_000018.10, read as the reverse complement.
CACTTCCATATACTAAAAAAAGAGTGTTTCAAACCTGCTCTACCAAAGGGAATGTTCTACTCTGTGACTTGAATGCAAACATCCCAAAGAAGTTTCTGAGAATGCGTCTGTCTAGATTTTATCTGAAGACAATCCCGTTTCCAACGAAATCTTCAAGGCTAGGCAAATATACTCTTGCAGTTTCCAGAAAAAGAGTGTTTCAAAACTGCTCCTTCAAAACGGTGGTTCAATTCTCTTAGTTGAGTACACACATCTCAAATAAGTTTCTGAGAATGCTTCTGCCTAGTTGTTACGGGAAGATATTTCCCTTTCCAACATGGGCCTGAAAGCGCTCCAAATGTCCACTTCCAGATACTACAAAAAGAGGGTTTCAAACCTGCTCTACCAAAGGGAATGTTCTACTCTGTGACTTGAATGCAAACATCCCAAAGAAGTTTCTGAGAATGCTTCTGTCTAGATTTTACCTGAAGACAATCCCGTTTCCCACGAAATCCTCAAAGCTATGCAAATATCCTCTTGCAGATTCTACAAAAAGAGTGTTTCAAAACTGCTCTATGAAAAGAAAGGTTCAACTCTGTCAGTAGAGGTCACACATCACAAACAAGTTTCTGAGAATGCTTGTGTCTAGTTGTTATGGGAAGATATTTACTTTTTCAACATAGGCCTGAAAGCGCTCCAAATGTCCACTTCCAGATACTACAAAAGGAGTGATTCCAACCTGCTCTATGATAGGGAATGTTCATCTCTGTGTCCTGAATACAAACATCACAAAGATGTTTCTCATAACGCTGCAGTCTGCAATTTGTATGAATTCCCGCTTCCAACGGAATCCTCAAAACTACCCAAATATCCACTTGGAGATTCCACAAAAAGAGCGTTTCAAAACTTCTCTATGAATAGAAAGGTTCTACTCCTTTAGTTGAGGGCACACATCACGAGTAAGTTTCTGAGAATGCTTCTGTCTAGTTTTTATGGGAAGATATTTCCTTTTTCACCTTAGGCCGGTAAGTGCTCCAAATGTCCACTTACACACACTACAAAAAGAGTGTTTCAAACCTGCTCTGTGAAAGGGAATGTTCAATTCTGTGACTTGAATGCAATCATCACAAAGAACTTTCTGAGAATGCTGCTGACTGCTTTTTATATGTAATCCCGTTTCTAACGAAATCCTCAAATCTAGCCAAATAGCCACTTGCAGATTCCACAAAAAGAGTGTTTCAAAACTGTTCTGTCTAAAGAAATGTTCAACTGTGTTAGTTGAGGACACACATCAGAAACTAGTTTCTGAGAATGCTTCCGTCTAGTTGTTATGGGAAGATATTTCCTTTTCCAACGTAGGCCTGAAAGCGCTCCAAATGTCCACTTCCATATACTAAAAAAAGAGTGTTTCAAACCTGCTCTACCAAAGGAATGTTCTACTCTGTGACTTGAATGCAAACATCCCAAAGAAGTTTCTGAGAATGCTTCTGTCTAGATTTGATCTGAAGACAATCCCTTTTCCAACGAAATCCTCAAAGCTAGGCAAATATCCTCTTGCAGATTCCAGAAAAAGAGTGTTTCCAAACTGCTCGTTCAAAACGGTGGTTCAATTCTCTTAGTTGAGTACACACATCTCAAATAAGTTTCTGAGAATGCTTCTGCCTAGTTGTTACGGGAAGATATTTCCCTTTCCAACATAGGCCTGAAAGCGCAACAAATGTCCACTTCCAGATACGACAAAAAGAGTGTTTCAAACCTGCTCTACCAAAGGGAATGTTCTACTCTGTGACTTGAATGCAAACATCCCGAAGAAGTTTCTGAGAATGCTTCTGTCTAGATTTTACCTGAAGACAATCCCGTTTCCCACGAAATCCTCAGAGCTATGCAAATATCCTCTTGCAGATTCTACAAAAAGAGTGTTTCGAAACTGCTCTATGAAAAGAAAGGTTCAACTCTGTCAGTAGAGGAAACACATCACCAACAAGTTTCTGAGAATGCTTCTGTCTAGTTGTTATGGGAAGATTTTTCCTTTTTCAACATAGGCCTGAAAGCGCTCCAAATGTCCACTTCCAGATACTACAAAAGGAGTGATCCCAACCTGCTCTATGATAGGGAATGTTCAACTCTGTGTCCTGAATACAAACATCACAAAGATGTTTCTCAGAACGCTGCAGTCTGCAATTTGTATGAATTCCCGCTTCCAACGAAATCCTCAAAACTAGCCAAATATCCACTTGCAGATTCCACAAAAAGAGCATTTCAAAACTGCTCTATCAAAAGAAAGGTTCAACTTTGTTAGTTGAGTAGATACAGCATAAACAAGTTTCTGAGAATGCTTCTGTCCAGTTTTTATGGGAAGATATTTCCTTTTTCACCTTAGCCCTGAAAGCGCTCCAAATTTCCAGTTCCAGATACTACAAAAGGGGTGTTTCAAGACTGCTCTATGAAAGGGAGTGTTCAACTTTTGACTTGAATGCAAACATCAGAAAGCAGTTTCTCAGAACGCTGCTGTGTGCTTTTTATATGTATTCCCGCTTCCAGCGAAATCCCCAAAGCTAGCCAAATATCCACTTGCAGATTCCAGAAAAAGAGTGTTTCCAAACTGCTCCTTCAAAACGGTGGTTCAATTCTCTTAGTTGAGTACACACATCTCAAATAAGTTTCTGGGAATGCTTCTGTCTAGTTGTTATGGGAAGATATTTCCTTTTCCAACATAGGCCTGAAAGCGCTCCAAATGTCCACTTCCAGATACTACAAAAGGAGTGATTCAAACCTGCTCTATGATAGGGAATGTTCAACTCTGTGTCCTGAATACAAACATCACAAAGATGTTTCTCAGAACGCTGCAGTCTGCATCTTGTATGAATTCCCGCTTCCAACGAAATCCTCCAAACTAGCCAAATATCCACTTGCAGATTCCACAAAAAGAGCGTTTCAAAACTTCTCTATGAAAAGAAAGGTTCTACTCCTTTAGTTGAGGACACACATCACGAGTAAGTTTCTGAGAATGCTTCTGTCTAGTTTTTATGGGAAGATATTTCCTTGTTCACCTTAGGCCGGAAAGCACTCCAAATGTCCACTTACACACACTACAAAAAGAGTGTTTCAAACCTGCTCTGTGAAAGGGAATGTTCAATTCTGTGACTTGAATGCAATCATCACAAAGAAGTTTCTGAGAATGCTGCTGTCTGCTTTTTATATGTAATCCCGTTTCCAACGAAATCCTCAAATCTAGCCAAATATCCACTTGCAGATTCCACAAAAAGAGTGTTTCAAAACTGTTCTGTCTAAAGAAATGTTCAACTGTGTTAGTTGAGGACACACATCAGAAACTAGTTTCTGAGAATGCTCTCTGTCTAGTTGTTATGGGAAGATATTTCCTTTTCCAACGTAGGCCTGAAAGTGCTCCAAATGTCCACTTCCATATACTAAAAAAAGAGTGTTTCAAACCTGCTCTACCAAAGGGAATGTTCTACTCTGTGACTTGAATGCAAACATCCCAAAGAAGTTTCTGAGAATGCTTCTGTCTAGATTTGATCTGAAGACAATCCCGTTTCCAACGAAATCCTCAAAGCTAGGCAAATATCCTCTTGCAGATTCCAGAAAAAGAGTGTTTCAAAACTGCTCCTTCAAAACGGTGGTTCAATTCTCTTAGTTGAGTACACACATCTCAAATAAGTTTCTGAGAATGCTTCTGCCTAGTTGTTACGGGAAGATATTTCCCTTTCCAACATAGGCCTGAAAGCGCTCCAAATGTCCACTTCCAGATACTATAAAAAGAGTGTTTCAAACCTGCTCTACCAAAGGGAATGTTCTACTCTGTGACTTGAATGCAAACATCCCAAAGAAGTTTCTGAGAATGCTTCTGTCTAGATTTTACCTGAAGACAATCCCGTTTCCCACGAAATCCTCAAAGCTATGCAAATATCCTCTTGCAGATTCTACAAAAAGAGTGTTTCAAAACTGCTCTATGAAAAGAAAGGTTCAACTCTGTCAGTAGAGGGCACACATCACCAACAAGTTTCTGAGAATGCTTCTGCATAGTTGTTACGGGAAGATATTTCCCTTTCCAAAATAGGCCTGAAAGCGCTCCAAATGTCCACTTCCAGATACTACAAAAGGAGTGATTCCAACCTGCTCTATGATAGGGAATGTTCAACTCTGTGTCCTGAATACAAACATCACAAAGATGTTTCTCAGAACGCTGCAGTCTGCAATTTGTATGAATTCCCGCTTCCAACGAAATCCTCAAAACTAGCCAAATATCCACTTGCAGATTCCACAAAAAGACCATTTCAAAACTGCTCTATCAAAAGAAAGGTTCAACTTTGTTAGTTGAGTAGATACAGCATAACCAAGTTTCTGAGAATGCTTCTGTCCAGTTTTTATGGGAAGATATTTCCTTTTTCACCTTAGCCCTGAAATCGCTCCAAAAGTCCAGTTCCAGATACTACAAAAGGGGTGTTTCAAGACTGCTCTATGAAAGGGAGTGTTCAACTTTTGACTTGAATGCAAACATCAGAAAGCAGTTTCTCAGAACGCTGCTGTGTGCTTTTTATATGTATTCCCGCTTCCAGCGAAATCCCCAAAGCTAGCCAAATATCCACTTGCAGATTCCAGAAAAAGAGTGTTTCAAAACTGCTCCTTCAAAACGGTGGTTCAATTCTCTTAGTTGAGTACACACATCTCAAATAAGTTTCTGAGAATGCTGCAGTCTGCAATTTGTATGTATTCCAGCTTCCAACGAAATCCTCAAATCTAGCCAAATATCCACGTGCAGATTCCACAAAAAGAGCATTTCAAAACTGCTCTATCAAAAGAAAGGTTCAACTTTTTTAGTAGAGTAGATACAGCATAAACAAGTTTCTGAGAATGCTTCTGTCCAGTTTTTATGGGAAGATATTTCCTTTTTCACCTTAGCCCTGAAAGCGCTCCAAAAGTCCAGTTCCAGATACTACAAAAGGAGTGTTTCAGGACTGCTCTATGAAAGGGAGTGTTCAACTTTTGACTTGAGTGCAAACATCAGAAAGCAGTTTCTCAGAACGCTTCTGTCTAGTTTTTATGGGAAGATTATTTCCTTTTTCACCTTAGGCCGGTAAGTGCTCCAAATGTCCACTTACACACACTACAAAAAGAGTGTTTCAAACCTGCTCTGTGAAAGGGAATGTTCAATTCTGTGACTTGAATGCAATCATCACAAAGAACTTTCTGAGAATGCTGCTGACTGCTTTTTATATGTAATCCCGTTTCCAACGAAATCCTCAAATCTAGCCAAATAGCCACTTGCAGATTCCACAAAAAGAGTGTTTCAAAACTGTTCTGTCTAAAGAAATGTTCAACTGTGTTAGTTGAGGACACACATCAGAAACTAGTTTCTGAGAATGCTTCTGTCTAGTTGTTATGGGAAGATATTTCGTTTTCCAAAGTAGGCCTGAAAGCGCTCCAAATGTCCACTTCCATATACTAAAAAAAGAGTGTTTCACACCTGCTCTACCAAAGGGAATGTTCTACTCTGTGACTTGAATGCAAACATCCCAAAGAAGTTTCTGAGAATGCTTCTGTCTAGATTTGATCTGAAGACAATCCCGTTTCCAACGAAATCCTCAAGGCTAGGCAAATATCCTCTTGCAGATTCCAGAAAAAGAGTGTTTCAAAACTGCTCCTTCAAAACGGTGGTTCAATTCTCTTAGTTGAGTACACACATCTCAAATAAGTTTCTGAGAATGCTTCTGCCTAGTTGTTATGGGAAGATATTTCCCTTTCCAACATGGGCCTGATAGCGCTCCGAATGTCCACTTCCAGATACTACAAAAAGAGTGTTTCAAATCTGCTCTACCAAAGGGAATGTTCTACTCTGTGACTTGAATGCAAACATCCCAAAGAAGTTTCTGAGAATGCTTCTGTCTAGATTTTACCTGAAGACAATCCCGTTTCCCACTAAATCCTCAAAGCTTTGCAAATATCCTCTTGCAGATTCTACAAAAAGAGTGTTTCAAAACTGCTCTATGAAAAGAAAGGTTCAACTCTGTCAGTAGAGGGCACACATCACAAACAAGTTTCTGAGAATGCTTCTGTCTAGTTTTTATGGGAAGATATTTCCTTTTTCACCTTAGGCCGGAAAGTGCTCCAAATGTCCACTTCCAGATACTACAAAAGGAGTGATTCCAACCTGCTCTATGATAGGGAATGTTCAACTCTCTGTCCTGAATACAAACATCACAAAGATGTTTCTCAGAACGCTGCAGTCTGCAATTTGTATGAATTCCCGCTTCCAACGAAATCCTCAAAACTAGCCAAATATCCACTTGCAGATTCCACAAAAAGAGCATTTCAAAACTGCTCTATCAAAAGAAAGGTTCAACTTTGTTAGTTGAGTAGATACAGCATAAACAAGTTTCTGAGAATGCTTCTGTCCAGTTTTTATGGGAAGATATTTCCTTTTTCACCTTAGCCCTGAAAGCGCTCCAAAAGTCCAGTTCCAGATACTACAAAAGTAGTGTTTCAGGACTGCTCTATGAAAGGGAGTGTTCAACTTTTGACTTGAATGCAAACATCAGAAAGCAGTTTCTCAGAACGCTGCTGTGTGCTTTTTATATGTATTCCCGCCTCCAGCGAAATCCCCAAAGCTAGCCAAATATCCACTTGCAGATTCCAGAAAAAGAGTGTTTCAAAACTGCTCCTTCAAAACGGTGGTTCAATTCTCTTAGTTGAGTACACACATCTCAAATAAGTTTCTGAGAATGCTTCTGTCTAGTTGTTATGGGAAGATATTTCCTTTTCCAACATAGGCCTGAAAGCGCTCCAAATGTCCACTTCCAGATACTACAAAAGGAGTGATTCCAACCTGCTCTATGATAGGGAATGTTCAAATCTGTGTCCTGAATACAAACATCACAAAGATGTTTCTCAGAACGCTGCAGTCTGCAATTTGTATGAATTCCCGCTTCCAACGAAATCCTCCAAACTAGCCAAATATCCACTTGCAGATTCCACAAAAAGAGCGTTTCAAAACTTCTCTATGAAAAGAAAGGTTCTACTCCTTTAGTTGAGGACACACATCACGAGTAAGTTTCTGAGAATGCTTCTGTCTAGTTTTTATGGGAAGATATTTCCTTTTTCACCTTAGGCCGGAAAGCGCTCCAAATGTCCACTTACACACACTACAAAAAGAGTGTTTCAAACCTGCTCTGTGAAAGGGAATGTTCAATTCTGTGACTTGAATGCAGTCATCACAAAGAACTTTCTGAGAATGCTGCTGTCTGCTTTTTATATGTAATCCCGTTTCCAACGAAATCCTCAAATCTAGCCAAATATCCACTTGCAGATTCCACAAAAAGAGTGTTTCAAAACTGTTCTGTGTAAAGAAAAGTTCAACTGTGTTATTTGAGGACACACATCAGAAACTAGTTTCTGAGAATGCTTCTATCTAGTTGTTATGGGAAGATATTTCCTTTTCCAACGTAGGCCTGAAAGCGCTCCAAATGTCCACTTCCATATACTAAAAAAAGAGTGTTTCAAACCTGCTCTACCAAAGGGAATGTTCTACTCTGTGACTTGAATGCAAACATCCCAAAGAAGTTTCTGAGAATGCTTCTGTCTAGATTTTATCTGAAGACAATCCCGTTTCCAACGAAATCCTCAAGGCTAGGCAAATATACTCTTGCAGATTACAGAAAAAGAGTGTTTCAAAACTGCTCCTTCAAAACGGTGGTTCAATTCTCTTAGTTGAGTACACACATCTCAAATAAGTTTCTGAGAATGCTTCTGCCTAGTTGTTACGGGAAGATATTTCCCTTTCCAACATAGGCCTGAAAGCGCTCCAAATGTCCACTTCCATATACTAAAAAAAGAGTGTTTCAAACCTGCTCTACCAAAGGGAATGTTCTACTCTGTGACTTGAATAGAAACATCCAAAAGAAGTTTCTGAGAATGCTTCTGTCTAGATTTTACCTGAAGACAATCCCGTTTCCCACGAAATCCTCAAAGCTATGCAAATATCCTCTTGCAGATTCTACAAAAAGAGTGTTTCGAAACTGCTCTATGAAAGGAAAGGTTCAACTCTGTCAGTAGAGGGCACACATCACAAACAAGTTTCTGAGAATGCTTGTGTCTACTTGTTATGGGAAGATATTTCCTTTTTCAACATAGGCCTGAAAGCGCTCCAAATGTCCACTTCCAGATACTACAAAAGGAGTGATTCCAACCTGCTCTATGATAGGGAATGTTCAACTCTGTGTCCTGAATACAAACATCACAAAGAAGTTTCTCAGAACGCTGCAGTCTGCAATTTGTATGAATTCCCGCTTCCAACGAAATCCTCAAAACTAGCCAAATATCCACTTGCAGATTCCACAAAAAGAGCATTTCAAAACTGCTCTATCAAAAGAAAGGTTCAACTTTGTTAGTTGAGTAGATACAGCATAAACAAGTTTCTGAGAATGCTTCTGTCCAGTTTTTATGGGAAGATATTTCCTTTTTCACCTTAGCCCTGAAAGCGCTCCAAAAGTCCAGTTCCAGATAGTACAAAAGGAGTGTTTCAGGACTGCACTATGAAAGGGAGTGTTCAACTTTTGACTTGAATGCAAACATCAGAAAGCAGTTTCTCAGAACGCTGCTGTGTGCTTTTTATATGTATTCCCGCTTCCAGCGAAATCCCCAAAGCTAGCCAAATATCCACTTGCAGATTCCAGAAAAAGAGTGTTTCAAAACTGCTCCTTCAAAACGGTGGTTCAATTCTCTTAGTTGAGTACACACATCTCAAATAAGTTTCTGAGAATGCTTCTGTCTAGTTGTTATGGGAAGATATTTCCTTTTCCAACATAGGCCTGAAAGCGCTCCAAATGTCCACTTCCAGATACTACAAAAGGAGTGATTCCAACCTGCTCTATGATAGGGAATGTTCAACTCTGTGTCCTGAATACAAACATCACAAAGATGTTTCTCAGAACGCTGCAGTCTGCAATTTGTATGAATTCCCGCTTCCAACGAAATCCTCCAAACTAGCCAAATATCCACTTGCAGATTCCACAAAAAGAGCGTTTCAAAACTTCTCTATGAAAAGAAAGGTTCTACTCCTTTAGTTGAGGACACACATCACGAGTAAGTTTCTGAGAATGCTTCTGTCTAGTTTTTATGGGAAGATATTTCCTTTTTCACCTTAGGCCGGTAAGTGCTCCAAATGTCCACTTACACACACTACAAAAAGAGTGTTTCAAACCTGCTCTGTGAAAGGGAATGTTCAATTCTGTGACTTGAATGCAATCATCACAAAGAACTTTCTGAGAATGCTGCTGTCTGCTTTTTATATGTAATCCCGTTTCCAACGAAATCCTCAAATCTAGCCAAATAGCCACTTGCAGATTCCACAAAAAGAGAGTTTCAAAACTGTTCTGTCTAAAGAAATGTTCAACTGTGTTAGTTGAGGACACACATCAGAAACTAGTTTCTGAGAATGCTTTCTGTCTAGTTGTTATGGGAAGATATTTCCTTTTCCAACGTAGGCCTGAAAGCGCTCCAAATGTCCACTTCCATATACTAAAAAAAGAGTGTTTCAAACCTGCTCTACCAAAGGGAATGTTCTACTCTGTGACTTGAATGCAAACATCCCAAAGAAGTTTCTGAGAATGCTTCTGTCTAGAATTTATCTGAAGACAATCCCGTATCCAACGAAATCCTCAAGGCTAGGCAAATATATTCTTGCAGAATACAGAAAAAGAGTGTTTCAAAACTGCTCCTTCAAAACGGTGGTTCAATTCTCTTATTTGAGTACACACATCTCAAATAAGTTTCTGAGAATGCTTCTGCCTAGTTGTTACTGGAAGATATTTCCCTTTCCAACATAGGCCTGAAAGCGCTCCAAATGTCCACTTCCAGATACTACAAAAAGAGTGTTTCAAACCTGCTCTACCAAAGGGAATGTTCTACTCTGTGACTTGAATGCAAACATCCCAAAGAAGTTTCTGAGAATGCTTCTGTCTAGATTTTACCTGAAGACAATCCCGTTTCCCACGAAATCCTCAAAGCTATGCAAATATCCTCTTGCAGATTCTACAAAAAGAGTGTTTCAAAACTGCTCTATGAAAAGAAAGGTTCAACTCTGTCAGTAGAGGGCACACATCACAAACAAGTTTCTGAGAATGCTTGTGTCTAGTTGTTATGGGAAGATATTTCCTTTTTCAACATAGGCCTGAAAGCGCTCCAAATGTCCACTTCCAGATACTACAAAAGGAGTGATTCCAACCTGCTCTATGATAGGGAATGTTCAACTCTCTGTCCTGAATACAAACATCACAAAGATGTTTCTCAGAACGCTGCAGTCTGCAATTTGTATGAATTCCCGCTTCCAACGAAATCCTCAAAACTAGCCAAATATCCACTTGCAGATTCCACAAAAAGACCATTTCAAAACTGCTCTATCAAAAGAAAGGTTCAACTTTGTTAGTTGAGTAGATACAGCATAAACAAGTTTCTGAGAATGCTTCTGTCCAGTTTTTATGGGAAGATATTTCCTTTTTCACCTTAGCCCTGAAAGCGCTCCAAAAGTCCAGTTCCAGATACTACAAAAGGAGTGTTTCAGGACTGCTCTATGAAAGGGAGTGTTCAACTTTTGACTTGAATGCAAACATCAGAAAGCAGTTTCTCAGAACGCTGCTGTGTGCTTTTTATATGTATTCCCGCTTCCAGCGAAATCCCCAAAGCTAGCCAAATATCCACTTGCAGATTCCAGAAAAAGAGTGTTTCAAAGCTGCTCCTTCAAAACGGTGGTTCAATTCTCTTAGTTGAGTACACACATCTCAAATAAGTTTCTGAGAATGCTTCTGTCTAGTTGTTATGGGAAGATATTTCCTTTTCCAACATAGGCCTGAAAGCGCTCCAAATGTCCACTTCCAGATACTACAAAAGGAGTGATTCAAACCTGCTCTATGATAGGGAATGTTCATCTCTGTGTCCTGAATACAAACATCACAAAGATGTTTCTCAGAACGCTGCAGTCTGCAATTTGTATGAATTCCCGCTTCCAACAAAATCCTCAAAATTAGCCAAATATCCACTTGCAGATTCCACAAAAAGAGCGTTTCAAAACTTCTCTATGAAAACAAAGGTTCTACTCCTTTAGTTGAGGACACACATCACGAGTAAGTTTCTGAGAATGCTTCTGTCTAGTTTTTATGGGAAGATATTTCCTTTTTCACCTTAGGCCGGAAAGTGCTCCAAATGTCCACTTACACACACTATAAAAAGAGTGTTTCAAACCTGCTCTGTGAAAGGGAATGTTCAATTCTGTGACTTGAATGCAATCATCACAAAGAACTTTCTGAGAATGCTGCTGTCTGCTTTTTATATGTAATCCCGTTTCCAACGAAATCCTCAAATCTAGCCAAATAGCCACTTGCAGATTCCACAAAAAGAGAGTTTCAAAACTGTTCTGTCTAAAGAAATGTTCAACTGTGTTAGTTGAGGACACACATCAGAAACTAGTTTCTGAGAATGCTTCTGTCTAGTTGTTATGGGAAGATATTTCCTTTTCCAACGTAGGCCTGAAAGCGCTCCAAATGTCCACTTCCATATACTAAAAAAAGAGTGTTTCAAACCTACTCTACCAAAGGGAATGTTCTACTCTGTGACTTGAATGCAAACATCTCAAAGAAGTTTCTGAGAATGCTTCTGTCTAGATTTTGTCTGAAGACAATCCCGTTTCCAACGAAATCCTCAAGGCTAGGCAAATATACTCTTGCAGATTCCAGAAAAAGAGTGTTTCAAAACTGCTCCTTCAAAACGGTGGTTCAGTTCTCTTACTTGAGTACACACATCTCAAATAAGTTTCTGAGAATGCTTCTGCCTAGTTGTTACGGGAAGATATTTCCCTTTCCAACATGGGCCTGAAAGCGCTCCAAATGTCCACTTCCAGATACTACAAAAAGAGTGTTTCAAACCTGCTCTACCAAAGGGAATGTTCTACTCTGTGACTTGAATGCAAACATCCCAAAGAAGTTTCTGAGAATGCTTCTGTCTAGATTTTACCTGAAGACAATCCCGTTTCCCACGAAATCCTCAAAGCTATGCAAATATCCTCTTGCGGATTCTACAAAAAGAGTGTTTCAAAACTGCTCTATGAAAAGAAAGGTTCAACTCTGTCAGTAGAGGGCACACATCACAAACAAGTTTCTGAGAATGCTTCTGTCTAGTTGTTATGGGAAGATATTTCCTTTTTCAACATAGGCCTGAAAGCGCTCCAAATGTCCACTTCCAGATACTACAAGAGGAGTGATTCCAACACGCTCTATGATAGGGAATGTTCATCTCTGTGTCTTGAATACAAACATCACAAAGATGTTTCTCAGAACGCTGCAGTCTGCAATTTGTATGAATTCCCGCTTCCAACGAAATCCTCAAAACTAGCCAAATATCCACTTGGAGATTCCACAAAAAGAGCGTTTCAAAACTTCTCTATGAATAGAAAGGTTCTACTCCTTTAGTTGAGGACACACATCACGAGTAAGTTTCTGAGAATGCTTCTGTCTAGTTTTTATGGGAAGATATGTCCTTTTTCACCTTAGGCCGGAAAGCGCTCCAAATGTCCA